>NC_000013.11:78713787-78866627 GCF_000001405.40 Homo sapiens | reverse complement strand
ATGAGGTGTTAGTTAGCCCCTACTGGGAGTTGTCTCCCAGTTAGGCTGCTTGGGGGTCAGGGACCCACTTGAGGAGGCAGTCTGTCCGTTCTCAGATCTCAAACTCCATGCTGGGAGAACCACTACTCTCTTCAAAGCTGTCAGAGAGGGACTTTTAAGTCTGCAGAAGTTTCTGCTGCCTTTTGCTCAGCTATGCCCTGCCCCCAGAGGTGGAGTCTGCAGAGGCAGGCAGGCCTCCTTGAGCTGCGGTGGGCTCCACCCAGTTCAAGCTTCCTGGCCACTTTGTTTACCTTCTCAAGCCTCAGCAATGGTGGACGCGCCTTCCCCAGCCTCTCTGCTGCCTTGCAGTTTGATCTCAGACTGCTGTGCTAGCAGTGAGCAAGCCTCCGTGGGCGTAGGACCCTCCGAGCCAGGGGCAGGATATAATCTCCTGGTGTGCCATTTCCTAAGACCATTGGGAAAATGCAGTATTAGGGTGGGAGTGTCCTGATTTTCCAGGTACTGTCTGTCATGGCTTCCCTTGGCTAGGAAAGGGAATTCCCTGACCCCTTGCACTTCCCAGGTAAGGTGATGCCCTGCCCTGCTTCAGCTCACACTCCATGGGCTGCACCCACTGTCCAACAAGCCCCAGTGAGATGAACCCGGTACCTCAGTTGGAAATGCAGAAATCACCTGTCCTCTGTGTTGCTTATGCTGGGAGCTGTACACTGGAGCTGTTCCTATTTGGCCATCTTGGAGCTTTCCTCCAGAGTGTTTTTTTTAACAGCTTAATATCTGTGCTTATTCTAGAATAATTCTTTCTTGATGTCAGTCTCATCATCAGTGATATTATACCATCTGAGTAATATTGATGAAAAACTCGTATGATGACATAGCTCCATAAACTGTTTATCAACATCGGAAATAAGATGGTGCATTTCCACACACATTAGCTTCTGGAATCCTTGCATTATACAGATAGAGTTCTCGTGGGACTACCACAAGCAGCAGGAATCTGTTCTGTATAAGAATTATAGATTTTGAATTAGAAAATGTGGGCATCTTCCTAGAAATGCTCCTTTCAAGATGGAGAAGTAAGTTCTCATTGATGTTTTTTCTCCATGATATTTAGTAGAAAACCAATAATATCAAAGTGGTGACTACTTTTATTTATTTCCTCTATCACTGAGGCCAGTGACCACCTTAAAATATTTTTCATAAAAGGTCTTAGTGTGGTATTTTAACTGGTAAGTGTATTGACTTATTATAAGAACTATTTCCAATTGTCAATTTATATTTAGTTTCTGTGACTGTGTTTGTGTCTTAAAGACAGTGAGGGCTCTGGGATCAGAAAACCCAGTTCTGAATCCTGGCTCCATCACCTATTGGCTGTGTAATTTAGGCTAACTTACCCAACATCTGCCTGCCTCAGTTTCCCCATCTATAAAATGGGGATCAAATTGAACTATCTTAGATTGTAAGTAGTAAATTAGATTAGATTAGGAAAATATTTTAAAAATTCAAGGTGCCTAGTGTTAAATGTTCATTTTAAAGCTATTCCAAAGTCTTCTCAGTTTCACTGCCACTTCCATCAATTTCTCTAAAGCCTACTGCATAGAGAAATAATTTCTTACCTTTTTTAACTTAGAAAGCATATTTGTATAGTTAACTGTCCAAAAATAAAAATTCCTGTTGTGCCTTTCAAATATATCTTTACATGTCATGGTGTTAATTACAATAACAGTATAATAAGTCTATGGTAGAAACCAGATGGTATTATAAAATCGTAATTGAGGGATGTGTATCCTGTTGAAACTGATAAAAAGCGATTTAGCCATTGAAATAGGCAGAATCTAAGGTGACCCCCATGACCACTGCCTTCTGGTATTCAAGCCCTTGTGGAATCCCTTCCCTTTGAGTATGGGTGAAGTGATTTGTTAGTTTCCACAACAGAAGTGACGGGACATTGCTTCTGAGCTTAGGGTATAAAAAGACTGTGGCTTCTGCCTTGCTTAATTACTATCACTCTTTCAGATCACTTACTCAGAGGGAAGTCAGCTGCTATGTCATGAGGCAGCCTTATGGAGGTTTAATGTGTCAAGAGACCAAGACCTACAAAAAAAATACATGAGTAATCTTGGAAGTGGATCCTCCCCACTAGTCAAATCTTCATATGGGACAGCAGCTCAGACTATCAACTCAACTGACCTCTGGAGCAACATAGAGGCAGAGGCACCCAGGTGACCTGCACCTAGATTTCTGGCTCATGGAAGTGTAAAATAACAAATATTAGTTTCAGCTGCTAAGTTTGGGGATAATTCTTTATGTAGAAATAGATAACTAATATCAAGACAATTGAATCGAAAAAGCTGGCTTTCCAGTGTTACCAGGAGATAAATCAGGGTTTGGCAAACCATTCCTTGTGGGCCAAATCTACCCCATATCCTCTTTAGTACAGCTTTCAAACTAAGAATTATTTTCACCGTTTTAAAAGGTTGTAAAAAACAAAATGAAACAAAACAAGAATATTTAACAGAGACTACGTTTGGACAGCAAAACCTAAAGTATTTACTATCTGGCCTTTTGTAGAAAAGTTTGCTGACCCTTGAGAGAAACCATTGCACTTCCCAGAGGACAGCCAATCCTTCCAAAGTCATTGGAAGGAACTGCAGCCTGTAGGACGCAGTTGTTCGATGCTCCAGATGGTTGACTTTTAAATGAGCCATCTTCTGCAGTCTGTGCCAAATATTTTGTGTATTCCTGTGCACAGGAGTAAAATAATAATTATCAACCATCTCTAATTATGTAACGTTATCCAGATAAAGAATGCTTAAAGAGAGAGAACCAAAGCATCTTATGTGGCAATGCATATATTGAATTTTATTTTCAAGTGTATATTTCAATTAATGTTCTTAGAAGTCTAGGATTTGGATAAACTGCTTATGTCACAGAACCTGAGTAATTGATGCATACCAATTTTCTCTCCTAGAGGCCAGGAATACTCAAGGACTTAGGCCCCTGGGACAATCAGTCACCTTGACTATAGCTGTAGTTGGAGAAAAACAAGCTCTAGACTAGTTCTACTCAAAGTGTGATCCATTGACAGGTGCTCATCTATGAAATGTTTCTATCCAATCTGTGATAAGATAATGATTAAACCCGAGAGAAAGCATTAAGACATGAGTATAGCAACTGACACACTCATTATGTCTTAAATATAATTATTTTAAAAATTGAAGCTTGGCTTCTGTATATCTTTGGGATTTTTACTTCATTATCCTAGTAATCATTTTTGTTATATTTTACAAAAGTATCAATCCACAAGGAATTGGAATTTTTCAAAAAATGATCTTTCATCACAGAGAGCTTGAGAATACTTTAGGAGGCCAATAAAAAGCCTGAATATCTTGAGGTTAAGTATTAATGTTTTTATGACAAGGTCTGTTTTTATCAAGGCTACCAATATTTTGGTCAATTATAGCACTGAGCCAAAGCCCACAAACTGAAAGAAATACATACGGGCTGACCAAGGATCTGTCAGAGGCACTTAGAATAATCATATGAGTCCGAAAAAAGTTAGGATGTCTGCCTCTCCTTTCCAGATGCTCTTTTCTTTTGCTCAATATTTAAGCATGATATGCTAAAGGCAGGCATTTGGACACTCTACTTCCATTAACCAGAAAAGCTCTAAGAATGAAAAAGATTACAGTAGATAAGTGAATGGAGCTGTTGAAAATTTGCAGCAGAGAGTATAAGGATGACAAACCCTTAACACCACTTTTGGGCCCTAACTCCACAGTGGACATTGTTATCAATCAGCACTTTCTCTCCTGCCAAGACATGTGCAGCTACAGAAACCTTCTCATCAGAGCATTGCAGGAAGCCATCATCAATCCATCAGAGTGAGCATAGCAACTGGACACTCATTGCCATCTCTAGTGTAATGAGAACACAGGTGTCACAAGAATTAGACTTTAACTTGATTCTGACAGCCAGTCATTTGGGCCTCTCTTGTCACCTCTCTAGATCTGTGTGAGTCATCTGTAACATAGGGGGTTGAACAAGATCAGAGGCTCTCACATTAAAATTCAGTGTAGCCTTCTAAAAATACTGACGCCTGAACTCAGCTTTACAGTTTTTTTTTTTTTCAGACTAATGGCACTTTAAACATTAGTAATTTTTAAAGCTGCTACATGATTCTTACGCACAGCCAGACTTGAGAACCACTGGATTAGAAGATCTCAATGATTAATCCCAACTCTAATATTCCAAGATGCTGCAATTATTTGAAGCAAGGATATTGTTGGTCACATAGACTTAGAGTCTAACCAATTAAATTGGATTGGTTAGGACCTGAGGAGCCAATTTCATCCCTTGGGCAGTTTATAACCAGAAAGAATAAAAGGTATAGGGATTTTGAATTATGAGGCAATAATTCTATTTTAGGTGTATGTGATCACAACCACTCAAGCTTTACTCTTGTGGTTTTTATAACCCTTTATGATGCCTTGCAAAAATTATTATAGCCCCATAAATCATTTTTGCCTATTATTACAGATATGCCATAATTTATAATATTAACTATTCATAATAATATGGATTATAATGATTCAAGTTTTTTATTTGAGGATATCAATCCATCTTAAAGATTTTAATGAACTAATCTCAATATCTCTATAAAAACGGTATATGCCCACAATGATCCCATTTCATAGGTGAAGAAACTAAGTCTTACGTATATGTGTATACACACACACAGAGAGACTTAATATTTGATCCAAAATCTATAAGTTTTTTTGTTATAAACATTTAGAGGTTTAAATATCCTTTCCAAAAAATTACATAAGTGGTAATCTTATTTTACTTACTCATCCATATCTGCTATTTTCCAGACACTGAAGATACAGAGATGAGAAAATGCTCTAGGATGGGGTTACCTTATATATTTAGATGCTTTAATGTTGCGTATATATATATATATATTTTTTTACAATGGTTATATCCACTTCCTTAATTTACCCTTCTTTCATTATAGAATGACCTTCTTTGTCTCTTTTCTCAGTTTTAACTTAACATTCATTTTATCTGACTTAAGTGTACCTATTTCTGCTCCCCATTATTTTCCATTCACATCCATATCTTTTATACCCCTTCACTTTTCATCTATGTGTGTCCTTAAATGTGAAGTGAGTCTCTTATAGGCACTATATAGTTGTGTCTTGTCTTTTATACATGTACACATTCTATGTCTTTTGATTAGACAATTCAATTCGTTTAAGTTCAAGGTAGGCATTGATATATAAAAACCTACTGCTACTGTTTTATGTTTGTTTTGCAGATCTTTTGTTTTGTCTTTACTCTTTTATTGTCTTTCTTTGTGATTAGGTGATTTTGTCTAGTGGTATGCTTTGATTTCTTGATTTTATCTTTTGCATACCTATTATAGGTTTTTTTCTTTGTGGTTACCATGAGGATTATTTCTTAAATCTTATTGTTATTACAGGCTATTTTAAGTTGATAACAACTTAACTTTGATTGCATAAAAAAAAAGCTCTACACTTTTCTCCACCTCCCTCATGTATTTTAAATTTTTGGAGGGGTGGAGCCAAGATGGCCAAATAGGAACAACTCCAGTCTACAGCTCCCAGCATGAGCGACGCAGAAGACGAATGATTTCTGCATTTCCAACTGAGGTACCGGGTTCATCTCAATGGGGACTGTCAGACAGTGGGTGTAGGACAGTGGGTGCAGTGCTCCGAGCCTGAGCTGAAGCAGGGCGAGGTATCACCTCACCCAGGAAGCGCAAGCGGTCAGGGAATTCCCATTCCTAGCCAAGGAAAGGGGTGACAGATGGCACCTGGAAAATTGGGTCACTCCCACCCTAATACTGCAGTCTTCCAATGGTCATAGCAAATGGCACACTAGGAGATTATATCCCGTGCCTGGCTCGGAGGGTCCTATGCCCACGGAGCCTCGCTCACTGCTAGCACAGCAGTCTGAGATCAAACTACAAGGTGGCAGCGAGGCTGGGAGAGGGGCACTTGCCATTGCCGAGTCTTGAGTGGGTAAACAAAGCAGTCGGGAAGCTTGAACTGGGTGGAGCCCACTGCAGCTCAAGGAGGCCTGCCTGCCTCTGTAGACTCCACATCTGGGGGCAGTGCATAGCCAAACAAAAGGCAGGAGAAACCTCTGCAGACTTAAATGTCCATGTCTGACAGCTTTGAAGAGAGCAGTGGTTATCCCAGCACACAGCTTGAGATCTGAGAATGGACAGACTGCCTCCTCAAGTGGGTCCCTGACCCCTGAGTAGCCTAACTGGGAGGCACCCCCCAGTAGGGGCAGACAGACACTTCACACAGCCGGGTACTCCTCTGAGACAAAACTTCCAGAGGAACGACAGGCAGCAACATTTGCCTTTCACCAATATCTGCTGTTCTGCAGCCGCCACTGCTGATACCCAGGCAAACAGGATCTGGAGTGGACCTCCGGCAAACTCCAAAAGACCTGCAGCTGAGGGTCCTGACTGTTAGAAGGAAAACTAACACACAGAAAGGATATCCACACCAAAACCCATCTGTACGTCACCATCATCAAAGACCAAAGGTAGATAAAACCACAAAGATGGGGGGAAAAAAAAGCAGAAAAACTGAAAATTCTAAAAATCGGAGTGCCTCTCCTCCCCCAAAGGAATGCAGCTCCTCACCAGCAATGGAACAAAGCTGGATGGAGAATGACTTTGATGAGTTGAGAGAAGAAGGCTTCAGATGATCAAACTGCTCCGAGCTAAAGGAAGAAGTTGGAACCCACAGCAAAGAAGTTAAAAACCTTGAAAAAAGATTAGACGAATGGCTAACTAGAATAACCAATTCAGAGAAGTCCTTAAAGGACCTGATGGAGCTGAAAACCATGGCACAAGAACTATGTGATGAATGCACAAGCCTCAGTAGCCGATATGATCAACTGGAAGAAAGGGTATCAGAGATGGAAGATGAACTGAATGAAATGAAGCAAGAAGAGAAATTTAGATAAAAAAGAATAAAAAGAAATGAACAAAACCTCCAAGAAATATGGGACTATGTGGAAAGACCAAATCTATGTCTGACTGGTATACCTGAAAGTGACGGGGAGAATGGAACCAAGTTGGAAAACACTCTGCAGGATATTATCCAGGAGGACTTCCCCAATCTAGCAAGGCAGGCCAACATTCAGATTCAGGAAATACACAGAACGCCACAAAGATACTCCTCGAGAAGAGTAACTCCAAGACACATAATTATCAGATTCACCAAAGTTGAAATGAAGGAAAAAATGTTAAGGGCAGCCAAAGAGAAAGGTCAGGTTACCTACAAAGGGAAGCCCAACAGACTAATAGCTGATCTCTCGGCAGAAACTCTACAAGCCAGAAGAGAGAGGGGGCCAATAATCAACATTCTTAAAGAAAAGAATTTTCAACCCAGAATTTCATATCCAGCCAAACTAAGCTTCATAAGTGAAGGAGAAATAAAATCCTTTACAGACAAGCAAATGCTGAGAGATTTTGTCACCAACAGGCCGGCCCTAAAAGAGCTCATGAAGGAAGCACTAAATATGGAAAGGAACAACAGGTACCAGCCACTGCAAAAACATGCCAAATTGTAAAGACCATCGAGGCTAGGAAGAAACTGCATCAACTAACGAGCAAAATAACCAGCTAACATCATAATGACAGGATCAAATTCACACATAACAATATTAACCTTAAATGTAAATTGGGCTAAATGCTCCAATTTAAAGACACAGACTGGCAAATTGGATAAAGAGTCAAGACCCATCAGTGTGCTGTATTCAGGAAACCTATCTCACGTGCAGACACACATAGCCTCAAAATAAAGGGATGGAGGAAAATCTACCAAGCAATTGGAAAACGAAAAAAGTCAGGGGTTGCAATCCTAGTCTCTGACAAAACAGACTTTAAACCAACAAAGATCAAAAGAGACAAAGGCCATTACATAATGGTAAAGGGATCAATTCAAGAAGAAGAGCTAACTATCCTAAATATATATGCACCCAATACAGGAGCACCCAGATTCATAAAGAAAGTACTTAGAGACCTACAAAGAGACTCAGACTCCCACACAATAATAATGGGAGACTTTAACACCCCACTGTCAACATTAGACAGATCAACGAGACAGAAAGTTAACAAGGATATCCAGGAATGGAATTCAGCTCTGCACCAAGTGGACCTAATAGACATGTACAGAACTCTCCACCCCAAATCAACAGAATATGCATTCTTTTCAGCACCACACCACACCTATTCCAAAATTGACCACATAGTTGGAAGTAAAGCACTCCTCAGCAAATGTAAAAGGACAGAAATTATAACAAACTGTCTCTCAAACCACAGTGCAATCAAACTAGAACTCAGGATTAAGAAACTCACTCAAAACCGCTCAACTACATGGAAACTGAACCACCTGTTCCTGAATGACTACTGGGTACATAACGAAATGAAGGCAGAAATAAAGATGTTCTTTGAAATCAATGAGAACAGAGATACAACATAGCAGAATCTCTGGGACACATTCAAAGCAGTGTGTAGAGGGAAATTTATAGCACTAAATGCCCACAAGAGAAAGCAGGAAAGATCTAAAATTGACATCCAACATCACAATTAAAAGAACTAGAGAAGCAAGAGCAAACACATTCAAAAGCTAGCAGAGGGCAAGAAATATCTAAGATCAGAGTAGAACTGAAGGAAATAGAGACACAAAGAACTCTTCAAAAAATCAATGAATCCAGGAGCTGGTTTTTTGAAAAAGATCAACCAAATTGATAGATCCTAGCAAGACTAATAAAGAAGAAAATAGAGAAGAATCAAATAGACCCAATAAAAAATGATAAAGGGGATATCACCACCAATCCCACAGAAACACAAACTACCATCAGAGAATACTATAAACACCTCTATGCAAATAAACTAGAAAATCTAGAAGAAATGGATAAATTCCTCAACACATACACCCACCCAAGACTAAACCAGGAAGAAGTTGAATCTCTGAATAGACCAATAACAGGCTCTGAAATTGAGGCAATAATTAACAGCTTACCAACCAAAGAAAGTCCAGGACCAGATGGATTCACAGCTGAATTCTACCAGAGGTACGAGGAGGAGCTGGTACCAATCCTTCTGAAAATATTCCAATCAATAGAAAAAGAGGAAATCCTCCCTAATTCATTTTATGAGGCCAGCATCATCCTGAAACCAAAACCTGGCACAGACACAACAAAAAAAGATAATTTTAGACCAATATCCCTGAGGAACATCGATGCAAAAATCCTCAATAAAATACTGGCAAACCAAATCCAGCAGCACATGAAAAGGCTTATCCACCATGATTAAGTTGGCTTCATCTCTGGGATGCAAGGCTGGTTCAACATATGCAAATCAATAAATGTAATCCATCATATAAACAGAACCAATGACAAAAACAACATGATTATCTCAATAGATGCAGAAAAGGCCTTTGACAAAATTCCACAGCCCTTCATGCTAAAAACTCTCAATAAATTAGGTATTGATGGGACATATCTCAGAATAGTAAGAGTTATTTATGACAAACCCACAGCCAATATCATACTGAATGGGCAAAAACTGGAAGCATTCCCTTTGAAAACTGGCACAAGACAGGGATGCCCTCTCTCACCACTCCTATTCCACATAGTGTTGGAAGTTCTGGCCAGGGCAATCAGGCAGGAGAAAGAAATAAAGGTATTCAATTAGGAAAAGAGGAAGTCAAATTGTCCCTGTTTGCAGATGACATAATTGTATATCTAGAAAACCCCATCGTCTCAGCCCAAAATCTCCTTAAGCTGATAAGCAACTTCAGCAAAGTCTCAGGATACAAAATCAATGTGCAAAAATCACAAGCATTCCTCTACACCAATAACAGGCAGAGAGCCACATCATGAGTGAACTCCCATTCACAATTGCTTCAAAGAGAATAAAATACCTAGGAATCCAACTGACAAGGGATGTGAAGGACCTCTTCAAGGAGAACTACAAACCACTGCTCAATGAAATAAAAGAGGATACAAACAAATGGAAGAACATTCCATGCTCATGGATAGGAAGAATCAATATCATGAAAATGGCCATACTGCCCAAGGTAATTTATAGATTCAATGCCATCCCCATGAAGCTACCTATGACTTTCTTCACAAAATTGGAAAAATCTACTTTAAAGTTCATATGGAACCAAAAAAGAGCCTGCATTGCCAAGTCAATACTAAGCCAAAAAAGAACAAAGCTGGAGGCATCACGCTACCTGACTTCAAACTATACTACAAGGGTATAGTAACCAAAGCAGCATGGTACTGGTACCAAAACAGAGATATAGACAAATGGAACGCAACAGAGCCCTCAGAAATAATGCCACATATCCACAAGTATCTGATCTTTGACAAACCTGACAAAAACAAGAAATGGGGATAGGATTCCCTGTTTAATAAATGGTGCTGGGAAAACTGGCTAGCCATATGTAGAAAGCTGAAACTAGATCCCTTCCTTACACCTTATATAAAAATTAATCCAAGATGGATTAAGGACTTAAATGTTAGACCTAAAACCATAAAAACCCTAGAAGAAAACCTAGGCAGTACCATTCAGGACATAGGCATGGGCAAGGACTTCATGTCTAAAACACCAAAAGTAATGGCAACAGAAGTCAAAATTGACAAATGGGATCCACTTAAACTAAAGAGCTTCTGCAGAGCAAAAGAAACTACCATCAGAGTGAACAGGCAACCTACAGAATGGGAGAAAATTTTTGCAATCTACTCATCTGACAAGGGGCTAATATCCAGAATCTACAATGAACTCAAACAAATTTACAAGAAAAAAAGAAACAACCCTATTAACAAGTGGGTGAAGGATATGAACAGACACTTCTCAAAAGAAGACATTTATGCAGCCAACAGACACATGAAAAAATGTTCATCATCACTGGCCATCAGAGAAATGCAAATCAAAACCTCAGTGAGATACCATCTCACACCAGTTAGAATGGCATTCATTAAAAAGTCAGGAAACAACAGGTGCTGGAGAGGATGTGGAGAAATAGGAACACTTTTACACTGTTGGTGGGACTGTAAACTAGCTCAACCATTATGGAAGACAGTGTGGCGATTCCTCAAGGATCTAGAACTAGAAATACCATTTGACCCAGCCATCCCATTACTGGGTATATACCCAAAGGATTATAAATCATGCTGCTATAAAGACACGTGCACACGTATGTTTATTGTGGCACTATTCACAATAGCAAAGACTTGGAACCAGCCCAAATGTCCAACAATGATAGACTGGATTAAGAAAGTGTGGCACATATACACCATGGAATACTATGCGGCCATAAAAAAGGATGAATTCATGTCCTTTGTAGGGACATGGATGAAGCTGGAAACCATCATTCTAAGCAAACTATCCCAAGGACAAAAAACCAAACACCGCATGTTCTCATTCATAGATGGGAATTGAACAATGAGAACACATGGACACAGGAAGGGGAACATCACACACCGGGGACTGTTGTGGGGTGGGGGAGAGGGGAGGGATAGCATTAGGAGATATACCTAATGTTAAATGACGTGTTAATGGGTGCAGCACACCAACATGGCACATGTATATATATGTAACAAACCTGCATGTTGTGCACGTGTACCCTAAAACTTAAAGTATAATAAAAAAAAATGTTAAGTAAAAAAATAAAATAAAATAAATTTTTGATGTTGTAATTTACATGTTCTTATGTTGTATATACCACAATAAATCACTATAGCTATTATTTTTAATAGTTTTGTGTTTTCAGCTTTATAGTAAAGATATAAATGATTTAAACATCACCTTTACAGTATTAAAGTATTCTGAATTTGTGTATATACTTTTTTCAGTGAGTTTTATACTTTCAGCTGTTTTTGTGTTACTCTTTAGTATCCTTTTTTTTTTCAGGCTGATGTGCTTCTTTTAGCATTTCTTGTAAACAGTTCTGGTGTGACTGAACTCCCTCAGCCTTTGTTCTCTGGGAAACTCTCTCTCCTTTATTTCTGAACCACACCTTTTTCAGGTACAGTATTCTTACTTGGCAGTTTTTTTTTCTTTCCAGCACTTTTAATGTATCATCCCACTCTCTCCTGGCCTGTAACACCTCTGCTGAGAAATTAACTCCTATGTGTACTAGAACTTCCTTATATGTTATTTGCTTCTTTTATCTTGATACTTTCAGGATCCTCTTTCTTTCCTTGAGTTTTGACAGCTTTATTTTATTATGTCTTGGCGTAATCTTGTTTGGATTGAATCTGATTAGAGAATTTTGACATTTCTGTACCTAGATATTTATATCTTTCTCCAAAGTTGGAAAGTTTCCTGCTAATATTTCTTTAAATAAACACTTTAATTCTTTATCTTTCTCTTCTCCTTCACAAACTCCTATAACCCAAACATTTGCTCATCAATCTTATAATCTTACTTCATTCCTTTTCATTCTTTTTTCTTCTCTGACTTTATATTTTCCAATAACCGGTCTTCAGAATCATAGGTTCTTTCTTCTGCTTGATCAATTTTGCTATTAATGCTCACTATTGCATTATTTATTTTATTCATTGTATTTTCCAGCTCCAGAATTACTATTTTTTTAAATAACTTAAATTTCTCTGTTAATTTTTAGTATTGGTACTTTATTGTTTTCCTGATCTTATTGAAGATTTTTAAGTATTTATTGAAGTTGTCCTATGTTCCTTAAAAAAGTTGTTTTGAATATTTTGTCAGGCAGTCCATATATCTTTATTTCTTGTGGGTCAGCTACTAAGAGATTATTGTTTGGTGTGTTCTTTGGTTTTGTTATATCTTCTTGGTTTTTTGTGTTTTCGTTACCTTACATGGATGACTGCACATTCAGAAAGTGAGGACTTATTCCAGTCTTTGCAGACTGGCTTTGTGTGGAAAAGCTGCTTCAGGCAGCCTGCCTAGAGATTCTGGGCAGGCCATTTGGCATAATCTGAAGGTAAGCTTGCTGTTGGAGTCCTGAGATAGGCTGGTGTGGTGCCTGGGTCAGCAGGTAGGCAACCTGGTGCCTGGGTCTGCGGGTTGGGCATAAAGCCTGGATCCATGGGGGCTGATCTTGCATGGAATAGACCTGGAGCCTGAGTCCATGGAGGCTGGCTCAGTGTTGGAGTGGGCCTGGAGCTCGAGTCTGTGGGGATGGGTTTGGGCTATGGACCCACAGTTGCTGGCCTAGAACTTTGGTCTTCATGGGTAATCTTGCAGCCTCAGTCCATGTGGTCTAGCCTGGTACTGGGGTCTACTGGGGTCTACTGGGTTGAGCTTGGGCCCTGGATCTGTGGTACAGCACTAGACTCTGGGTCATCTGAAGCCTGGGACCACAGGGACCAGCCTGGCACTTGGGGTTTTCTCAGTGCTGTAGTTGGTATGAAGCCTGGGTCCACAGGACACAGTCTGGAGCCTAGGATTACAGGTGTTGGTTTAGTGCATTAGACCCTGGTACTGGCCTGGAGCCTATGTCCACTAGTGTTTGCCTGGAGCCTGGGTATGCAGGTGTTGGCCTAGAGGATAGGCCCATGAGGGCTGCCCTAGGTCTTGGGGCCTTGGGAATAGCCACTTACCTGGGTATACAGGGGCTGTCCTGGAGCCTGGGTCCATGGGGGTTGGTCAGATGCTGGAATCTATTGGGGCAGCCTGAACCCTGGGTCTGCTGGAGTGAGGACCTACAGGAGCTGGCCTGGAAGCTGGGTCTGGGGGTGCCAGTCTGATGACTAGGACTGCAAGTGTTGGTCTGGTGCTGAGGTCGGCCTGAAGCCTGGGTCCATGGGGGCCACTTCACTGTTAGGGGTGGTTTGGACCCTGGAGTTGTTGAAATCAGGTTGGCAGTGGGGCAGCCTGGAGACCAAGTCCACTGGGAAGGCCTAGAGCCTGGTGGGGGACTTTGCCTGGTTCTAGTGCTGGCCTGGAGGCCCAGTCCTTGGGTAGGGGCCTCAAGTCTGAGGTCATGGAGTCAGATCAGTGCTAGATTTTACTGAGGAGGGTCTGGTTTTGGAGTCTGAGGCACAGTCCTGTGCTCACTTCCTTCTTCCTCTCCTAGGCAGTATCTGTCTCCATGCCGTGCTGTCCAGGGTTGAAGAATGGGCAATGTGGCTAATGTCCATCCTACTCTCCTCAATGCGTCTTTTCTTTCTGTGCTACATCCAGACACTATTGTCCTTCACCAGGTTTCTTTAGCACTTGGAAAGATATTTCCGTGTGTGGATAGTTGTTTGCATTAATGTTTCTTCAGGGAACAAGCATTGGAGAGTTCTATTTCTCCATCTTGCTGATGTTCTCACTCCCTGAACCTATTTTGTAATAGAAGTTTTTAGAACTCCGAACCCCAATTAACAATCAGCCTTTTTCCCTCTCATATTTGCCACCTAGTGTTACTGAATTTAAACTGCTCTTCATACTCTTGAACTTTACAGCTTATTTACTGGTTCATTTATTTTTATTTTTTGACCTGAGACATCTTCTTAATTTCTAGTGAGCTAGAACAGAAATAAGGCTACTACTCCTTTTGCCCTGTTCTTTGGCAGTGTACCCAGCTTATATTCACAGCAGACTCACAGATTACCATCTCAGGAATACAAACAAAGGATTCTTTCTTCAGGTGTTTGCTTAATATCCATTTTTCTAGGACATCTTTTTCTGGCCACTCTTTTCTTCTAGACTCAAGTGCTCCAGAAGAGTTGCCCCTCTTACCTAATTGTCAGCTGGCTATGGTGGGCAGTGAGCAAATGTCAACTACTATGTCTTAAATACTCACTCAGCATCTAACATAATCCTTTACCCATGATTCAAATGGTCCTTAAAAGTACTGAATAAGCCTTTTTTGCATGAGAGCCAATTTGGAGAATTTAAAAATATCTTCAGGCTGCATTATTTAAAATTTTAAACTAATTTTTATTACGCAAAGGCTGTCACAAAATTGGATATTTCTCTACTTTGTACACAATTTTTCTTACTCTCCACAGAAAGGCTGCTTCTTCTCATCTGGTGATGGCAAGCACTAAAATCCTGATTTTAATAGAATGGCTGTAAAAACGTCTCAGTGATTTAGGTTGAAAGCACTATATTAGTTCATGGCTCTTGCACCCAATATCAAGAATGTACAAATGTTTTTTCATTCAAAAATACAAAATAAATTATCTGTAGGCATGGGCAATGACAGCAGTAAATTATTATATATTGTCAACTGAAACCAGTAACTGATGGTTATGGTGATTTTCTTAAATTTCAGCCAGCCTTCTCTTCAGTCATTTTCTTCACCTGACTTCTAAAGTTATTGTTGAGGAACACTGTTTTGAGCTTCCTGTCACAGTTCAATAACAAAGGTAAAGCACTATTCTAGGAATTAGAACAAACCATCTCCCATTCCACCTATTGCACTCATTCCAGGGTTCTCTTTTTTAGGAATTTCTATGACTACAACTTCTGCGGTAGGTAACAGAGAGGCCACCTCAGCAGCATGCAGTAAAGCAGTTCTCACAATGTTTGTTGAGTCAATGATTCCTTTTTCTACCATATTCACAGAATCTCCAATCATAGCATCATAACCAACTTCAGAGGAATCTTGCATAATTTTTTCAGCTATCAAAGATCCTTCAACACTTGCATTCTTAGCATTGGTCATTGAAGGAATTTTGAGTGTTCTTTTAATAATTTCTATACCACTTAAAAAAATCGTCATTAGTTGGAGTTAATGAGTCCAAGGCTGGAATGCACTGAAGCAGAACAATGCCATCTTCAATAGCAGCTCTTGTAGCATTAAGGACATCGGTAAATCTGTCTTTCTTGTCTTTCACCTGAACATCACTTGTCTCACCAACCATCAACACGGCTACTCCATCTGAAAGTTTTGCCAGATATTCATTCAGTTTTTTCTTTTCATATCCACTAGTTATGATATCTAACTACTTAATGATTTCTTGAATACATTTTTCAATTTAAGCTTTGTCATCTTTTCCTTTTAATAGCATAGCATCATCTTTGGCCACAATGACCTCTCCAAATTTTCCTGAGTCATGAGGCTGAGCATCTTCAAGATTTAGGGTTAACCCCTCTTCTCCAAACACTGCACTACCAGTAGCAATAGCCATATCTTTAAGCTGGCTCCGTTGTCACCAAAACCTGAAACTTTGGCTGCTACAACCTGAAGACCAACTTTTAGCCTATTCAAGATGAGCGTACTTAACGTTTCTTCATCAATATCTTCAGCAATTGTGACCAAAGGCTTAAGGTAAGCACTGGCAATTTCAAGAGCAGGTACAATGGACTGGACACCAGAAATGTTCTTTTCACTCAGTAGAACATAGGCATCCTGGAATTCACATTTATGACCTTTTGATGTATTAATAAGCATGGAAAAATGTAGCCTCAATCAAACTTCATGCCTTCAGTAATTTCTTTTTTCTTTTCTTTTTTTTTTTTTTTTTGAGACGGAGTCTCGCTCTGTCGCCCAGGCTGGAGTGCAGTGGCGGGATCTCGGCTCACTGCAAGCTCCGCCTCCCGGGTTCACGCCATTCTCCTGCCTCAGCCTCCCAAGTAGCTAGGACTACAGGCGCCCGCCACTACGCCCGGCTATTTTTTGTATTTTTAGTAGAGACGGGGTTTCACCGTTTTAGCTGGGATGGTCTCGATCTCCTGACCTCGTGATCCGCCCGCCTCGGCCTCCCAAAGTGCTGGGATTACAGGCGTGAGCCACCACGCCCGGCCGCCTTCAGTAATTTCTAATTCATCATTCAATGTTTTTCCATCTTTCACTGTGAGCACAACCTTTCTCCCAACCTTTTTCATTGCACCAGAAATGATGCTACCAATTTTTTTTTGTCTCCCTTTGCAGAAATTGTAGCAACCTGAGCAATTTCTTCAGGGGTTGTCACAGGTTTAGACTGCTTCCTAAGTTCAGCAATTACAGTATCAACATCTAACCTCACACACTTCCGATTTCCACTGGATTAGCACCTTTGCTAACCTTCTCAAGGCCTTCTTTGCAGTAGAGCATGCCAGTATGGTAGCAGTGGTGATACCATCCCCAGCTTCTTTATTTGTGTTATTAGCAACATTTTGAACAAGTTTAGCTCCAATATTTTTATATTTATCCTTTAAGTCAATTGACTTTGCAACAGTCACACCATCTTTTTTTACTTTGGAACTTCCTCAGCTCTCTTCAATAATAACTGTTCTTCCCTTTGGCCCTATTGTAATGGCTAGAGAATTGGCTAAAAGGCCTACACCTTGAAGCATTAAGTTTTGGGCATCTGCACCAAAGTTTACATCTTTGGCATCAGCCTGAGGAAGATGAGGCTTCAGTACCCTGGACACCAGTCTTATTTGGCAAAAAAAAAAAAAAAAAAAAAAAATACTGTGGGTAATTGAAGCATTTCTGCAGGGCTGCAGCGGGGCGTGCGCACAGTGAGACAGGTCATTGGCAGTGAGTGAGGGACAGAGTGTAGGGCCCATTTTTTTTTTAATTCAAAGTGAAAATAGCTTCATCACATTCCATAGAATTATTTCTAAATTTTGCCATAATTAAGAATACTGCTTTATTAAGCAAAATAATGTTAATAAACAAATGGTGCTGCTTTTGAAGCCACAAAAATGTTGCTATCTGATCCTATTTGAGATGTAGTAACTCATACCACCTCTACTCATTCATATCTTACATTTTTAAAGTTCTTTACAACTCAGAAGTGAGTTCACAAACATTTTCTAACTTCAATCTCAAAGTTTTTCTTCAAATACATATCAATATACCCACTTCTCAGTTAGGGAAAGTCACAGCTCAAAGAAGTGCAAAAAAATATTGCCCAAAGTGACTCTGTTATACTTGGACTTGAATGAGCTCAATGCCTTTACTGTTATGTGAGAACTCCAGAACAATGTGAGTTATTGTTTAGTGAGAACTTCAAGTGAAGCAAGTCTGTTTCTAGGCCTCAGATGATAAACATTAAATCCCAAACAGCTTCCAACCCAAACCAGATTCTGATTATAGCAACGCCTCCACATTCAAATTGCGAAGGCTAAGTGTACAACCTGAAGAGCTCCAATGTCCCGAAATTTCTCAGAAAAGCTGGGTGCTCTGTGCTGGTCCTAGAGTCCCCAGGGGCTACTGGTTCTTAAAGGCCCCATCCTGCTTTTGACCTGATCTGGGTCTGAAAGTGGTACTTTCTCCCATAGTTGACCTCTACGTTGGTCATCACACGGCTGGAAATAAGAAATTCTAAAGCACATTCACCCTTTTACAGGGTCTAAAGTCTTTCCCTATGCCTAGCAGTGCTTCAGAAATTTGAGCAGGCATTAGAATCACCTAGAGAACAGGAAGTCTTGTTAAATCAGTTTGCTGGACCTTACCCCCAGAGTTTCTGATGCAGTGGGTCTTGCGTGGGAACAGAGAACATCAGTTCTTACCAGTTGTCAGGTAATTTCTTACCAATTACCAGTTGTCAGGTAATGCTGCTGCTGTTTGTCTGGAGACCACACTTTGAGAACCACTATCCTAATTCTTCATTTGATTTTTCAAGAGCTGAAATGTTTTAAAATCATTTCTTTTGAAATCAGATCTTGAGTCCTTCCAGAAGTTAGGCATTTCATTCACTCATAAATCTCAAGTTGCTCAATTACAAAGCAAGAGAAAAGTACCTTGGCTACAAATGTTCCAAAGCCAATTATTAATGCCAGTTCCACCATTTCACAGCTTTTAAGCCTTGAGCAAAAAGTAGCTCTATTTTCTCAACTATATGTCCAGTCCAATAACTAACATGAAGATAAAATTATGCCTCTGTTAAAAAAAAACTGATAGTGTTTACTTGAAAATAAGGTAATGTCTTAGGTATGAAAATCTAAATGAGATATTCCCCTGTTGTGGAATGGACCAGGTACTGGTGTAAGGTTACTTGTCTAAAAATATACAGCAAGGAAAGTCAGAATCAGATATAGAATTCAGGCCTATTCATTCCCCTTTACAGATTTCCCCCAGGTACACTACTCCACAACGATAACAATAGTAGACAAATACTCTAATGGGCTTTGGAAAGCCTAATATAGAACCTGACAAGAAATAAAGTGATCCATCCACTCCTCTAGGTATCTATTTCAATGGTTCCATTAGTAATAAAATTTCTCTTCTGGATGCATAATTGATAACAAAATAAAAATAAAAATATATCTTTAATCTAAGTATCTGAGTACAATACATATTACAGTGCAGTAATCATTCCTGCAAAACTCAGGGGTGTGATTTTATTATGCCAGGTTTCAAATTCCCTTAAAGCTCATCAACAGGGCTTTCAGCTAAGTTCAGCCTGTGAGACTTTTATGTTTGTGTCTGGGGGGTTACTTCCTTGTTCTGTAAGTGAGAGCCTCCTTCATTTCCAACAAATAATTTTATTACTGTAAATCTTTTACTCCCTTAAAGTAAATAATTTAAAACTCAAAATCCAAGAATGATACCAAGATAAGATCTGTGCTGATGCTGAGAACGAGGCACATCTAGAAGTTATCTAATAGGTTAGATGGGGGAAAGCTGAGGAAATTACTTCAAAGTCAATTTGTTTGCTTTCTTCTAAAAATAGGAGAGTAGACAGTAAAGATTTGCAAATGGTTTGCATGAAGTAGAAGGCTGCCCAGGTACTAATGATTTGCTATAGACTAGCAAAAAAATTCAATTCTATTTCACTCAGTTCAGTGAGCATTAAATAAGTACCCTCTATGCACTCAGTAATATTTTAGCCACTGAAAATGCAAAGATGAAGAGGACATAGCCTCTGTCCTCAAAGAATTGAAAAAAGTCATTGCAATATTCAAAATGAAATGGTTTCACTTCCACACTTAGATTTATATTGCCAAGTTTTCAACATGGGTCACATTTTTAAAACTCAGTTATACTTTAGGTTGGTTTCATTCAAGTCAACAAACACATATTGGGCATTTAGTATGGGGTAAGGAGCACATGATAAACAAGACATAGTACCTTCCTGCAGAGTGTGATCAGCTTCTTATAAAAGTGGCAGAAGGAAAAGGAATGATAAACAATATGTGATAAACATTGTCACTGAAAAAAATCATTTGTAATTCCTAATGAGTATATTTCATTATAAGAAGTATTTATGTCTCTCCATTATCTGTGCTTGGGACCTGAGTTCATCAAACAGCCCTGTGCTTGAGCCTGCATGAGCTAGAAGAATAAGGGCAGTTATGACCTATGATCATGTCACCTTCAGAATAGTCAGTCCCAAGCATGTTTTAACCTAGATTATCTGTAATTTTTTCCCTCACTTTGGGACATTAGTGTTGGCTCAGGTGGGAAGTAAATATTAACAAAATAGCTTTGAGCTTAACAAAATAGATGAGATCATTTAGCTCACGTGAGACCACAAGATGATCTGAAATCACAAGAACTGACTACTTCTTCCTCTGTGCGCTGCTCTGCCTTATGACCTTAAGCAAGAATGGCCACATGGCACTTGATTTTTGACAGTCCCTCAAGATTCTTGAGTGCAGGGACATTGTTTTATCATTCTAGACCTAGAGATCAGCATAGAGTTGAGCACATACATTACTTTTCACAGATGTTTGTCAAACACAGAAGCCTGGAGAACATCAAGTGTGAGGTGGCAGGAAAGAAAGACCAGTGAAGTTCCTTGTATAGTTTCTTTATATTGTGTCCCTGACATCCACATCTCTTACTATTCCTTGCAGCACTAGTAAATATTGAAGAAGAAAACAGAAAAGAGGAAGGAAGATAAAACTCATTATGCAATTTTTTTAATGTACAGAAAAAGAAACAAGACTGGGCGGACTTATGCCAACATTTTAAATCTTTCTATATAGTGGGATTATGAGTGATGTTTTCCATATGTTTAAATGTTTTTCTAAAATTTCAAAACTTCTAAATTTAGCCTTTCTAAGCATTACAATAATTTTGTGAGTTGCAAAATTGACTATATATATACCCCCTTTTCTTTTGTCTGCTAAAGAGAGGTTGGTTGCGGTGGCCTAGGACTGTAATCCCAGCACTTTGGGAGGCTGAGGTGGGAAAATCACTTGAGTCCAGGAGTTCAAGACCAGCGTGGGAAATATAGTGAGACCCTGTCTCCTCAAAAAATAAAGAGTTAGCTGGGCATGGTGGCACACATGTGTAGTTCCAGCTATTCAGAGGCTGGGGCAGGAAAATCACTGGAGCCCAGGAGGTCAAGGCTGCAGTGAGCTGAGATTGCACCACTGCACTCTAGTGTGGACAACAGAATGAGACCCTGTCTCAAATTAGTTAATTAATTAATGTATTAAAGCCAAATATTTTTTTAAAAACCATGTAATTATATGTTACTGTTTAGCTGAGTTGCTATGAAAGTCTATGTCAGTTATCTGAATGAAATACGAATGTTTTGAATATATGCTAAGTCTCTCTGCCAAAAAAATAGTGCCAGTTCACTGTGTTCTTATTCACAATTATTACAGTATCAAACAAGTAATAAATAATAATTTTATATTTCTGGGAGTATAGATTAACCTTTTCCTTTTTTGAAAAGGATTTTACAAGGGAAAATTCTAATTTAAAATACAAAGTGAATAACACTTGCAAGTAAAACCACAAAAACTTCTAAGGGCTGACACTCCTTTAATGTGGGAAATATTTGTTAAAAGTTATATTTCCTTTTTTTATATATTTAATGAATATGACTTTGCCTCCAGAGTCTTTTATTTTTCTTATATACTCTCCAGAAGCACTTCAAAGAATATCATAATCAAATGTATTTTTAATGCCTAGAACATATTAGTAATAATTAGTGTTTCATGTACTGTTTTGTATGCAATGTTCGACCTTTGGAATTAATTTTGAAATGCATGTTTCTACACCTCTAATCAGGCTTTTATTTAACTAAATTAGTAAGCTAAAACCTGATAAAACAACAAAGATTTTCATATTATTCAAAGGAAGTGGTTTTATTTAAAGGGTCCACTGTCTTATTGTGTGGTTTCACAAATTCAGGAATTATTTTTGTCAGCACATTCATGAGCACTAGATAAAAGTCTGTACTAGGCACTATGGAAACACAAAGGTTAATATGGAATATGGATATTGCTTGCGAGAAGCTTAAAGTCTAATTGAGAAAAACAAGACTTGAGAACACAATCATTTAAAATATGACGAAAGTGATTAAGATTACAAGAAAAGCACAGATAAGCACCATGGAAATAAGAGAAGGGAATAAGAGATTAAGTAGCATGTGGACTAGGACTGGATGAGTAAGATACAGACACGAGAGGATGGCTATGACAAGCATTACAGCTTTGAGCGCTTATCTACCATATTAAATTGTAACTATTGGTTTACATGTCTATCTCTGTTTTATGAGACAATGAACTCTGAAAGGACCAGGTCCAATCCCTTTGTACAACCTCAGCAGCTAAGACAGGAACTGAAACAGCACTAACATATATTTGTTGAATGTTGACTGATTACAGTGGGAACGAGTACAACAATGGTAAATCATGGAAGCTCCAAGGAGGGGCAAAGACAGCGTATCAAGTGGTGATGAGCTGAGTTTGCTGGGGCGATAGCAGTACGAAGAAGAGTTGTGAGAGCCTAAGTGAGGAATCTGAGCTGGAGACAACTATTAGAAGACCTGGGATGTCAGGTCTGGACTTTGTCTTTGTATAATGGGGAACTGGTTGAACATTTTTCAATAGGGAAGGACACCACCTGAGCTGTGGAAAAAGACTGGTGGTAGGATGTGAGGAAACCATTATTGTCTGGTCTGAGATCACACTAGCATTCAATAGAGGCCGTGGGTGGCAGGGGGTGGCGGGGACACAAGGGTGGTAGATGGAGAAGATCTGCCGCATATAGAACCAACAGGACATTGCAACTGAGTGAATTTAGGGCTCACAGAAGGAAAATAATGAATGAAAACAGGTTTTCCACCTTAGCTGGAGAATATTGTGTTCATTATTAAGTGAAAGAAATGTACATGTGTAAGGTAAGACTAAGGTGTCTACTTTGACTATGTTGGGTCTAGAATGCCCAACTTTACACAGCCAACAAATGTCCCAACCAGTCCTCAAATTCAGATCTTCGACTTCCAACTAAGTGCTATTTTGGGGACACAATAGCCCTCTTATTTTTAATACATGAATGATTGGCTTCTATTGGAAATCTTCCATTGAAATAAATTTCACCTACAGTTTGAAATAAATAATACACTGCTATGGATTAAGTTGTGTATCTCCAAAATTCATATGTTGAAGCCCTAACCCCTAATATGACTGTATTTGGAGATGGGGTTTTTAAGAGATAAATAAGTTTAAATGAGGTCCAAAAGGTGGACTCCCAATCCTATAGCATTGGTGGCCTTATTAGAAAAGGAACAGAGTGAGATCACTTTCTCCCCGCTTGTGCACACACCAAGGACAGGCCATGGGAGGACACAGTTAAAAGGTGGCAGTCAAAAAACCAGGAAGAGATCCCTTACTGGAATCCCACCATGTTGGCACCCTGAACTCAGACTTCCAGACTCCAAAGCTGTGAGAAAGTAAATTTCTGTTGTTTAAGCTGCCTTGTCTGTGGTATTTTGTTATGGCAGCCTGAGTTAAAACATGCATGTTTCCATACAGGACAGTAAGGAGCTGAGTTATCACTCCAACCCAAACTGTACTTTCACTCTCAAGCATGAAATAAGCTTTTCATTTGTGTTTTTGCTTTTGTTTTTAATCTGAATTAACTAAATGCTCTCAACTATTGAATGACCAAAAGTCTGTACCATCCTTGAGGTAAAACTGGCCTTCTGTCTACCGTGGTAACTAACACACAGAAGGCACTAGTTTTTCTTCTGAGTGAATGAGCATTATTCATTTCCCTGCCTGGGTGGTAGAAAAGCCACTAAACCCAAACCTAAGTAGGAGTGCTCTTAAAAACCTCTAACCATCATCAGAGACCCAAATGACAACAGCCTAGGGAATATGGAATGTCATTTTCCCCCAAATATATTATATTCTTTCTTAAATTCTCTTCTAATTAAAAATACTTCTTGTAGTCAACCAGCATCACTAAATAAAGAACACAGAAATTGTTTTAGGCAGCTCACTAACACATATGGAATAGTAGCTCTATTTTACTAAACTATTTTAGCCTGTTCAGACAAAAAACAAAACAAAACATTGGATGTCTATAAATAGCCTAAATGAAGAAAAATATTAAGCAATACAGCAGGGCAAATGAAATATTTTACTTTTATTTCTATGTATGAAAGAAAAAGTGAGGTTTGATATCAGGGATTTTATACTATATTGGGAAAAATAACTAATACTTCCTTAGAGTTTAATGGCACAATTTTACTCTACTTGGATTTAATTTACAAGAGTATATAATTGGCCCTTTAATATTGCCACATTACAATGATCATCTGCTGTACATCCTGTAGTTAATTCCACTCTACCAGCACAACCTGGTGATTAATTTCCAGTTTGGTGGCTTGACTTCTGCATGTCTCATCATCTTCTTCAAACCTGTCCTCATGATCAAGACATAACAATTTTAGCTTTCTTTACATTAGTCAAAAGCAGTTAGCATTGTCAGGTAACTGCAAAAAAATTCTTATTGAAATTGAAGAGACTGTGCAAAGTATATGACTGTATAAACTTATTAAGAGAACTAAAATGGTTCAGTTCTGAAGCTAATTTTTGCATGGAAAGATCAGGGGGAAGGCACCATTCACAATGATTTCTCAGACTATCTAACCTGATTGTTGTCATAGAGCCTGTCTGCTCTGCCGTTTGTGAATGTTTACCCAAGATCAGTCCCTATGAGTGGTATTCATGAGGCAGTTCAGTGGTGCAACCCTGTGCTGGGAACTAACAGGCCATTACTGACTCGTTGTCTATTCATTTTAGATTGTTTCTATGGAGGATTTATAGAAACAATACCAAGGTGGCACCAAGGTGGCTATCAATGCTGTTTACAGACAATTTAGAGGAATAAACCTGCAGTTATGCCCGGGCTGGCTTCCCTTGCGGTCCTGGGGCATAGTGTTCTAATCCTATTGTGACGTGATTGTTGCACCATAAAGTGCTCCACAGAGGCCTGTAATTGGCATACAGGTTCAAATTAGATTGCTGTGTGTTTAGGAAAGCTAGGGTCATTTCGCATCAGCACCTCTCATTAAGAAGCAGGCGAGGAAGTTCTCTATTACAGGAAATCTAATGTATATATTATCTTTTATGATAAAGACAATACCTAGAGTACACACTCACTGACACAGGCACACATATATTACCCATCTTGTCTTTCATCACCATGAGGAGGGTAACATGAAAATGCAAAACACATTTCTGAGAATGGCAATTAAATATTTACCAGCAATGTATCATGGAACACTAGCTTTGGGAGCTAAAAAGGAGAGACAGGAGGAAAAATAATGGATGAGAAAAATCCAACAATTAGTTCTGCTTTTTTCTAATAATATCATGACTTGAAGGTAGCCTTCCTCTGGAAGCCAAGCAAGTCTGTGGTATCTATGTTTTCAACTCTAGTGATGGGTGAACTCAAGTGAAGTTTCAGGACGAAACATCCTCTTTCTAAACTTGTTTTAAGCTTCTTTTCAAAATCTTCAAGGCTTCAAACCATTGACAACAAAATGCGTTTGTTAATGGGTAGTCTACACATGGTGGGAGGTTACTCTCTGGATAGTTAAAATCTAGGACAGACAACATTCCAGTAGAAAGAATAAAAATTTCACAATCCAGTAATATAAATGAATAAACATTTTTCAGGTCTTTCTTCAGTCTTTCTGAGACCCATGGAGTAAAAAAATAAAAATAAAAAAAATACTTAAAGGAGAGTGAAATCAGAAGAAAACTATCTGAGCCAATAGGAATGTAATGTTAGTAAATGAAGAAACAAAACATTTAAAAATTAATTATGATGATGAAAGAAGGAATATGAGGGACAGTGAAAGAATCAAAACACAAACAGCACAATGTGGATATATTAGAAAATAAGTAAGGGGGCTGGGTGTGGTGGCTTACGCCTGCAATCCCAGCACTTTGGGAGGCTGAGACGGGCAGATCATCAGAGGTCAGGAGTTTGAGACCAGCCTGGCCAACATGGTGAAACCCCGCCTCTACTAATATTGCAAAAATTAGCCGGGCGTGGTGGCACACGCCTGTAGTCCCTGCTACTCAGTACCCTGAAGCATGAGAATTGCTTGAACCCGGGAGGTGGAGGTAGCAGTAAGCTAAGATCGTGCCACTGTACTCCAGCCTGGGAGATAGAGCGAGACTGTATCAATAAATAAATAAATAAATAAATAAATAAATAAATAAATAAAAGCAAGTGAGGGAAGTCAGAGAAAAGAGATGATGCTGTGGTCTGAACATTTGTGTCCCCCCAAATTCCTATGTTGAAGTCATAATCCCCAAAGTAATGGTATTGCGAGGGGGGCTTTGAGGAAGTGATTAGGTCACAAATGGGATTAGTGCCCTTATAAAAGGGACCCCAGGGAGGTAGCCCCTTCTACCATGTGTGGACACAGCAAGAAGGCAGCATCTATAAGCTAGGAAGGAGGCCCTCACCAGACTTGGAATCTGCTGGCTTCCTGATCTTGGCCTTTCTAGCCTCCAGAACTGTAAGAAATACATTTCTGTTGTGTATGAGTTACACAGTTTATAGTATTTTGTTATAGTAGCCTGAATGGCCTAAGGCACACAGTAAGAAGGAAAAGGAGCGTGGGGAGGGGGGTTTAAAAGGACACGGAGAAAGAGATATTTTTCCATTTTGAAAAAGGAAACTGATTTGCTTTCAGATGGGTGAAAGCTGTGGAAGAATACAGACTGACCAGGAACCCCACCCTAAGGAAGAGGTCAGCTAGTGCATGTCCACGTGCACACACACACATGCACACATGTGCACAGACATGCAGTCACACACACACATGCACACACATTCAAGAAAATCTCTGGAATCCAAACACAGCCTCTGACCATCAGTCATAGAAATGAACCTCAGAGATACCAGGGCAAGGTTCCTGTTATGGATTGAATTGCATCCCTCCTCCCCACATATTTTGAAATTCTAACTCCCAGTAACTTAGAATGTAAACTTATTTGGATATAGGGTCTTCAGAGAAGTAACCAAGTTAAAATTAGGCCATTGGAAGTGGGAGACCCTAATCTCAAATGGCTAGTCCTTAGAAAAATGGGAAAATATTGGCGCACACATAGAGGGAAGGCGTTAGGAAAAGTCACGGGAGGAGACAGTTGTCTTCACACCAAGGAGAGAGGCCTGGGACAGATCCTTCCTTCACAGAAGGAAGCAAACCCCCTGATACTTTAATCTCAGACTTCTAGCCTGCAGAACTGTGAGACGATAAGTTTCTGTTGTTTTATGGATGAACTCAAAGGATATTATGCTAAGACAAATAAGTCAGGCATACAAATAGAAATACTGCATGATCTTACTTATATGTAGGATCTAAAAAAGTCAACCTCTTAGAAGTAGAAAATAGAACTGTGGTTACCAGAGGCTGTGGGATGGAAGGGGATGGGAAGATGTAGTTCAAAGAATACAAAGATTCAGTTAGGAGGAATAAATTTTAAAGATCTATTACACATCATGGTGCCCATAATATTCCTCAAGGATCTAGAACCAGAAATACCATTTGACCATTTGACCCAGCAATTCCATTACTGGGGATATACCCAAAGGATTATAAATCATTCTACTATAAAGACACATGCACATGTATGTTTATTGCTGCACTGTTCACAATAGCAATGACTTGGAACCAACCCAAATGCCCATCAGTGATAGACTGGATAAAGAAAATGTGGCACATATACAACATGGAATGCTACACAGCCATAAAAAAGGATGGGTTCCATTCTAAGCAAACTATCACAAGGACAGAAAACCAAACACCGCATGTTCTCACTCATAGGTGGGAGTTGAACAATGAGAACTCATGGACACAGGAAGGGGAACATCACACACCTGGGCCGGTTGTGGGGTGGGGGGCTGGAGGAGGGAGAGCATCAGGAAAAACACCTAATGTAAATGACGAGTTAATGGGTGCAACAAACCAACATGGCACATATATACCTATGTAACAAAACTGCACGTTGTGCACATGTACCCTGGAACTTAAAGTATAATAATTAAAAAAAAAAAAGGATGAGTTCATGTCCTTTACAAGGACATGGATAAAGCTGCAAGCCATCATTCTCAGCAACTAACACAGGAACAGAAAGCCAAATACTGCATGTTCTCACTCATAAGTGGGAGTTGAACAATGAGAACACATGGACACAGGAAGGGGAACATCACACACCGGGACCTGTCGGGGGTGGGGGACAAGGGAAGGGATAGCATTAGGAGAAATACCTAATGTAGATGACAGGTTTATGGGTACAGCAAACCACCACGGCACGTGTATACCTATGTAACAAACCTGCACGTTCTGCACATGTATCCCAGAACTTAAAGTACAATTTTTAAAAAGTTTAAAAAAACTAATGTATTATAAATTTCAAAATTGCTGAAAAAGTAGATTTTAAATGTTTCTACCTCACACACAAAAAAAGATAAGTATGTGGGGTGACGGATGTTAGTCAGCTGTAGTGATACACAATGTAAACACATATCAAAACATCACATTGTGCCCCACAAATATATGCAATTATTACCTGTAATTTAAAAATAAATAAATAGATTATTTCTGTTGTTTAAGCCACTCAGTTTGTTATGCCAGCGCTAGCAAATAAATAGTTTTCTAGCTAGGAAGTCTTACTACCAGTGGCTAGATCCTCAGCACCCCTCTCCCAACCTTCCAGATTGCCCGGGAATGCCTTCAGGAGACTCCTTAAGATGGACCTCAGGGATGCAGATGCCTTGCCTTCTGCACTGCAGCCTCTGAATTGCTTGCTACTTTCTTACTTGTGCACAGCAAGGGGGCATAATTACCCATTGGCAAGTGCTTCTGGCCTCTGGACTTCAGGGACCTAGACGTTCAAAGCCTGCTGGAATAAAAGAACTTCCTAAGGTTCAGAACACAACCTAACACCAGCATTCAGGGAAACAACACAAAGACTTGTCCATGATGGTTACAGCCACCCAAAAAAGCCATCTTCATATATGTGTAGTTTCAATAGTTTCCATTGGTCTTCTGGTGACAGTGCATTCACCCAAACACACTAGCACACTAGGTGTACCATCCATCTCCATAGAAGAGTGGGACATAGCCGCTGATGGATTCTTTGTGAGGCCAATCCAAGACCCCCATATGCTATTACTATATGATCTGAATGCCAAGGAAGCAGTCAGTCCCACCTTACCCCAGAGCCAGCTGCTTCCTTACTAATGTACTCTCTACTATAATTTCAGGGAAGGACCTAAAAAACATACTTCTTGGCTTGGCAGTGATCTTAGAGGCACTTGTATCCTAGATGTCCCAGAGACACTGATCATAGGTCATGTCCTTCCTGTCCTCCCTGAGAGACAATGTAGTTTGGTGAAAAAGGCATGACAAAGATGTGTGACCTTGAGACTGTCAGCCTCATCATCCAAAAAATGAGGGGCAAATGTACTAGAAAATCTCTAGATCCTTTCTCTGATCGTTATATTCCTGACACTTTGAGGGGTTCCTGTTTCCTAAATGCTCCAGGTTTTGCAGGCTTGGAGTGATTCCCAAAGCCATCCTTTATCAGCGCTATCTGGCTTCATCAACAGTTTTCTCCAAGGTGAATACTCAGATAGCCCCCTCTAAGTCTCTTTTACAAGTAAAGAGAATGAACACTCCACAATCCGTATGAAACCCTAGCACATCAGTGGTTTAAGTGGATTTCTTTCACCACCAGAAAGCTCTTGTTACGTAATGTAACTATTAGGCTGGGCTGAACTTCATCTGATGATAAATGATAGGTCACAGAAAGTTCATGCCCAATAACAGAAGTAGCATATCAGTATTACCCAGAGCACACACATATGAAAGATGGAAGAGCCATCAATAATCATGTTTGGTCCTTGTAATTATTATTAGCTTAGTAATAGTTATTGCCATCCTCACTCTTTCTGCTGAAAGAGAGGCTTTCTGCTAAAGAGCAACTAATAACAATGAAGGGTCAAATGTACACAACAAATAATACTCCTCACCCAGACACATAATACAGCTTCTAATGAGCTAATAAATGCTTTGGGGTGTGTGTGTGTGCACATGTACTCATCTGTGTGTGTGCTTAACCCAAGAAAATTAAACTTGCTAGGTGGCATGGGAGTTGCCAACGAATACATTTTCTTTTCTTTCTGCTAAATCATAGACCTACCATAAGCTTTCTTTGAAACGCTGCAATGTAGCAGGGACTAGCAAAAGAATTCCCCTTCTGGCTGCACTTTGAATCTTCTTAAAACCTAATTCAAAGTATTGTCATTCTTTTGTAGACACAAGTCTATAAACTCATTCTCCAGATAGAAGTTTTGAAACAAAACATGGGGACTTCTGAGACATAAAGGGCTCCTTAGTAATTAAGATAAAATAAGGATTCCCACACTGGCTCTCTATTACAGATCTGTGAAATAGCTCAATACTTCACTTCACTGGGCTAAAGCCCATTCGGGCCATCAAGTTGAAAACTGCTGTATTATTCTTTGATGTCTACAGCTTAGTAGCACAAAGCTGGTCTCTGAGCACTTACTCTCTATAAAGAAACTCCAAATGTTTGGCCTTTGGGCTGTAAATATTGTGTCACCATTGATTTTTAACATATAAAGTGTATTTTCCTGAATGTCAAGTATTTTCAAAGTGCAGGCCCTCCCAAGAGTACAAAGTAGAAGGAATTAAAGGTGGCTTAAAAGCTAGAGCTACAAGCAAGCAGGGAAGAAAGGCAAGGCACGAAGAAATGAAAGGGAGGAATAAGTGTACACAATATTCCAAGTATTGTGTTCTCTTTCATGGTTTAGTTTAAAATGTTACAGGAAAATTTATCTCATTATCACTGAAGACATTTTAGCACCAATAATAATCAGTTCTATTTTTCTTACCTTACAATACCAACTGTGTTCTAAAACACTACATACAGCACTACAGTGAAATCTCTATAAGGGTGTTATCTCATTCATCTCTCTATCTCTTTATTACTTGTTATAGTAAATGAATCCAGAAAAGATTTGTTAAAAGAATAAATTCTACCAAAATTTCTACTTCCTAAATTCTATTTCAAAGCAACTGCTGTCAAATGCCGTATTAGAACTTCTGTTCAAATTAGAAAATAAAGCTACTAGAAAATAATTCTGAGATGTTTATACATAAAAAGTTTGTCAAATTTCACCTTGATTTCTTGGCACAGAGTCAGATTCAAAGCAAATCAAGTGACATTTTCTTGTTTTTTTGTAAGTTAGAAAAAATGTCCTGAGCTGTGTCCCAGACCCTCAGGGGATCACCTTGCTCTTTCTTCATCAGCCTCCTGTGTCAAGTCACAATCGGACCATCAAGGAGTTTTGACCTCCTAGATGCAAGCTGAGATGTCTCTGGGGATTCCGATGAGCTAGGGGAGCTATTCTCTTTCCCTCAGTCAATCAGTCCTCACCACACAGATGCGACTGAAGTTAGGAAAGACCTCTTTATGCAAAGCATTTCTGACCTGCATTTGCCTGTGTGTAAAGCTTAAATAGTAAAGTTTTTATCACCTATATATTTTTATAAAGAAGTATAAACAGCACCAGACCAACCTCCAAATCCTTCATTGCTTTATAAAACTTGAAATTATATATATATATATATAATGAAAATAATTACTCAATTTAAAAAGAGTTTAAAATGTAGACTTCTAGCTTGAGAGTCCCAAAAAATAAAATTGTAAAACTACAGCATTGCTGGAACAGACTGGAAGGATGTCTAAAGGAATAGAGTTAAGAAGCAAACATGTCAAAACCCACTTATATAAATTGTGAAGAGTAAATGCCAAAACGGTTCCCACCAACTTCATTCAAATTGTTAATCTCTTTTTGTATAAAGTTCTGCTTGCTTGAGAGTTCTATGGTGACCATTTGTAATTTTTCCAATCCTTTTATCCCCCTCTGATGTTCATTCTCTGTCTCCTGTGATTGCTCCTGACCATCAATAATTAACTGGGAAAATGCCCTGATATCTATACTTCAGCAGTTTGTCTAGCAATAAATATTCACATTCCTTAATCATGCTGTATCTATGCTTAATACCACATCCATGCATGGTCTTTAAAGATGTTTTTCAGACTGCTAATAAGAAACAGGTTGACTATTTTAAATTCCATATAAAATGCAAAGGAATGTATTCTAACTCAGCTCAATGTAAACCAGCCAGTATTAATTCAGCTCCCCTCATATTCTCAGCTAAATGCCAAGGGGTCACCAAGGAAAAGCAAAGGAAATTAGCCTTTGCCAAAATACCGCGACACCTCAGGCCCATCTTATCATGAAGTAACTGCACAACCTTTGGCCCCTCATTTCTCTGGCCTTTAGCTTCTTTAAATTAAAATAGCTGGCCTGGCTGGACTTTAAGGTCTCTTTGGTATTTCAGATAATTCCTATGTCTTCTGAGCCTTTAAAGATGGTGTGTGTGTTTTTAATCACACTCATAAGGAAGTAAGTGAATGAGGTAAGGACCAGAGGAAATGAAAGATAAAACTGAGGGATAATATGATAAGCAATATATATTTGTTCATTGTCTGACAGCAAGAGAGGAATCTGAAGTGAAACAATGAACAAATATATATTATTCATGGTTATGGGACTATGAATATATTTGTAAGAAAGAGATTTTTACTTTTATAGGTATTTTATTCAGAAAAATGACTATTTGCATACACACCAAATAGTCTGAAATGCTAATAACAATAGGTTTAATCCAAAATTATGTTAAAATAGTAATGCACACACTATTCTTTTAGAAATTTATGGACATTTTACGTTCTTATTCTTAGTTGCAGTAATAAAGCTTTTTCTCTACAAAGGGGCATAAAACAAAGTTAAAAACCAAAATTCTATTTAATGCATATATTAAAAAAGATAGATAACACTGTAGATATGACATGGCAATGTTAACTATGAAAATAATTACAGGCTGAGGTTAGCAATTAAGTCATTATGAAGTGACATCATATTGATATAATTTTATTTCATTATTATTCTTTTAATGCAGTAATCACTAAAAATATACACATACTCCAGGCTGGGCATCTTCAAATTCAGCTCTTTTTCAGGAATTTGGAGCTCTTCAGATCAACAGTTTCCACAAACAGTATATTGCCTTTTTCTCTTCACTTTCTTGGTGACGTTTGGCTACCTGATAATAATATATTCAATACAAAGTTTAGGAGGAAGATGCTTCCCTCACTTGATTACATTGGATAGAATAGTTTAGACACACATGGTTTGTCTATAACCAACCTAATTTCATGGTAAATATTAAAAGCTAATATTCATTTATTTATTCCTTGATCCCCAACTTCGTACCAGGCTTTGTTCTAGTAGTTATGGCTCCATCACTAACTGAAACAGAAAAAATTTCTTTGCCTTCTAGCAACTGACAGTCCAGTGTTCGGAAGGCAGATAATAAACATAATAAACATAAAAATTGACCAGTGCTGCTTAAAAAGTGGCAGTACATATGATGGACTATTTTTTCCTTATACAGAGGTGCAGTCTTATGAATAATGCATCTTGCCTCCGCAAAGCATTCAGATACTGATATAATTAGACTCATTTCTGAGGTCCTCCTATAGTTCATGCATCAAACACAGGCCCTTCAGGCAGCTGTGTTTGGGTCTATAAGCATGGGATGTTAAAGAAATGAGCACAGTCATGCTAACACTGCCCTCACTGCCTTACAGATGTAGGATGACAGTGATTGCCCAAGGCGTTCTAATTACGCAGTATTTAGTAGGCTGGATCTAGCACACACCTGCCAGAAACTTAAGAGGGGAGATGCTGCGCCAGGATTTTTATCTTACACAGGAACCCAGCTGGAAGCCAAGTTCTAAAGAGGCTGGTGGCTGCATAAAAACCACATGCCTTCAGAGTTTGGTTGGAGGTCCCTGGAATTCTCTTAAAGATGTGTCTCATCAGTCAGGGTCTCATTCAACAACGATCAGCCACAGGCCTTGAAGACATGCATGTGCTTCTGCCACAACTTGGAGTTAGAAACATGATTTATAAAATCCAATGACTACACATCTCACCTAGACATATATCTGAATAGTTTTCCAAATGAGGCATGAGGAATGTTTACAAAATAGATAACATTTGATTGACTGTTATACACCACCATCAAAATATGCAAATAAATGGTTTTGAAATTAAATAATGTGTATATGTTTAAATGGCTCCCCAGTTGAAAACTGAACACATTAAATGATATTAAAGTAAAAATGCACATTTCACAATGACTTGGAGAGATTCACTATTTAAAATTTATAAATATTTTTCTAAGACAGAAATTTTAAAATCAACCTGTCTGCTACTGTTGCTTCTATTTTTGCAGATCAAGTTCTCTATCTACTACACTTTAGGTTTTAGTATGGCACTATTTTAAACTCTATGTCATATAAAAAATTCCAGAAAACAAAAAGAAATCCATAAAATGACTCTTTTTCCAGACTGTCAGAAGCAAACTTAGAAAAAAAGTCATCCATTTGCTTATTGAATACACCTGCTTGTAAATTTGATAATAGGACATACAATTAACCACTAGCTTCTATGCCATTTTGTAGGTGAAAATCAGAAATCTCATTTTGCCCATGATCAAGTTAATGAAGCAGAGACATGGAAGCTAAAATTAATTTTTGTCCCTGCAACTTACAGAATGCAAATTCCCAAATGGATCCTACTGGAAAGTTTCTGTATTCATTGAATTTCTACCCATTTGTCTGTATAGACCTTGTTTGTCATCATATTATCTGTAAAATATTACTATGAAAATACTTCAAATTATAAAGTTAGAGACCATAGAGGATCTGAAATGTAATCGAGCCCATGCCTCTACCTTACAACAATGCCTCGCCTCAAACACCCCAGACATGTTTATATCTGTCCCATTTTAAAGACATTGACTGGGCTGGGCGCAGTTGTTCATACCTGTAATCCCAGCCCTTTGAGAGGCCAAGGCAGGAGGATCACCTCAGTCCAGGTGTTCAAGACCAGCCTGGCAAAATAGTAAGACCTCATCTCTACAGAAATATTTAAAAATTACGCAAGTGTGGTGGCATGCGCCTGTAGTCCCAGGTATGCTGGAGGATTACTTGAGCCTGGGAGGTTGAGGCTGCAATGAGTCATGATTGCACCACTGAACTCAAGCTTGGGTGACAGAGGGAGACCCTGTCTCAAAAACAAACAAAGAAAAAGACATTGAATGATAGAGACTCTAAAACTTCCCTCTCTGGAAAACTCAATTCAGCATTTTTAAGTGTCAGGATCTGGAAAGTACACATTATACTGAACTCAAATTCATGCTGCCGTAGTTCTGTTTCCTCTGTCTGTTCTTCCCATGGATAGAGAATGGTGGCTATAGTTGCAGGTTTATCATCTCCCATGTAAATCCTATCAGACCACAGCCAGGACCCTCGCTTCATTGCTAGTGCAAATGTTTTAGCTCTATTTTCTAGTCCTAAAATCCTTGTATGCTATAAACCACTCTAAATTCAGAGCAGTCATATTTTTATTCCTTAAAGCTTGCTTCATCTAGAAATCCAGAATTCCTACCTCTAACTCCCTACATATTAATAATAGACTGTGTGTGCAATTTAGTTCAGAAGCAGAAACCTCCCAGTGGAAATGGATTCCCTGTGGTCAATTTCTGGATTTTTCTGCACTGGAGCCACAGAACCATCTCTGGAACCATGGACAGTGCCCTAGACTAAGTATCCTCATTAAAGGGAAGGTCAATTCTCACCTTTTAGTCAGAGAATGTACCAGTTTCAGATTTTAGTGTGAGAATTTCTAAGAAAGCTTGTTAAGACTGCAGATTCACTTTGTTGTGATATTCCCCCCAACCCCGACATTCTGACATGGAATATCTGAGCCAGAACCCAGAATCTGAATTTTTAAAAAGCCTCTTCACAGCACGACCTACTCTATCCACAGTTCCACAGTGATTCTGAGGCATATTCTCTGTGAATTACATTTGAAAGAGTGTTTCCTCTATCTGCCTTTGTCCTTTTATTTTCAATTTCTTTTGGGGGGAGGAAAGTTATGAATTCATATTGAACTGACCAGAAGCAAGATTTGACCTGAATTCAGAGCGTACAGAGAAGAAACGCTCCATGGATAAACTGGGGGAAGAGAAAAGCTTGCTGAAACCTTCTCAGCACAGCCTTTTCACTTTATTTCCATTTATTTGTTCATTCACTCATTCCTTCACTCTTATATTCAGATTCAACCAACAGTTTTTTGGGTTTCAGAGTCTCAGAGCCTCAGGGTGGAGAAGAGTTCTGACTCATCCTGTGTAACAGCTCTTGATAATAAATGGGTAAAACAAATAAATGTTTATTCCTAAATGAATAAAATTTATAAGTTATATTAAATATAATGTAATAATTTATAGTAAATAATATTAAATATAATTTAATAATTTATAAAACATTATATTTAAATTATACTTAGGAATAAATTATATTTAATGTGAATAAATTATATTTAATGTAAATAAATTTGTTTTAACTATATTTCTAAATATTTCTATACAGGAATTCAAATGAGTTATAAATCATTGTGGGCTGGACGGTATAAAAAAGCTTTTAAAAATTGTTTAGTCATTCCATAAATATGTATTGAACACCCACCATGTGAATAAATTAATGAAAAATTGCTGTTGGATACTTCATTTCAGAAGGCAATGGTTAAAAGATAAAATATATGCTAAGCCATTCTACTCATTCACTTATGAAACATTTACTGAGTGTTTACTACATGCCAAATAATCAACTAAATGGTAACAATGTAAAGATGAATTCCCTCAACCACAAACCACCAGGCCTTTGCACAGGATGTTTCATTTCGCTGTATATTTTTTTCCTTCCTTTTCCTTGTGAACTTCCCCAGAAGACTTCTGTGATCAGTCTGTTAATAATTTTCTCTAGCACACTCTCTCTCTGCTCTTTAGCACCATATAACTTTCTATTACAGAACTTAAACAGAGCTAATATTATCTTTGCCTGTATGATCATCTGATTTCTGTCTGCTTTCCTCACCAGACCATAATCACCATGAGTGTGGGGACCATGACGATTATTTTACAAATCTTCAGCTTCTGGCTCAATACAGGATGTGAAGTTAATGCTCAATAAATCTGTAACGGTAGAGTTAACGAATGAAAATAGTCTGAAGGTTTATTTCCAATAACATATTCACTTTCCCGAGTTACCCAATGAAATATACACATATCGCCAGAAGTACCCTCACAATTGATATAGAAAACAATAGTCCACTTCCCTTCTGAATGAGATGTTCTAAATTTAGTTTCTCTTATATTTTGCCTAATTTCAGAGATATATCCTTTATATAAGCAAGTCACTGAACCACATCTTCCAACATGAATAGTGTGTATCTGATGAGTCTTAACTCAAGGTCAAAGAGTACTAGAAAGTGCCCAGAAAGCCCAGTCTACCCCAAGATCTCACTCAAGTGAATGACCTCCAGTTTACCATTCTGCACAAATTACAGAATATGATACTGGATTTGCAATTGGAAAAGGTCAGTCTTCAGAGGAGCCCCAGAACCCATGGAGAAAGACAGCCTACTCTTCTAGTAGCTAGGATCGCTACCTGGGGAGCAAGAGTTCATGCAAATGAGCTCTCAACCAGGCATGCTTCTGTTCTGGTGTGTGTATCAGCCATGTGAAGCCTTTTCAATCTTTTGGGCTAGAGCAATTTTTCTAGCCTGGTGCATAACTATGAGTCTCACCTTTTACCTGCATCAACATGATCTATGTAAAACTTTGATTGAAAAGAAAGAATTAGAGTGGTTGAAGACTTTTCCTTTTAGATTTTGAGGATTATATTTAACATAAACTGAAATCCCGATGCTCTCTATTAAGTCAAGTGCATGGTATGAAGGACATATTCTTATTATGTGTTGAGTTTGGAGACCCAACAAGTAAAAATAATGCATAATTACATGACATTATGTCGCATTTATCTTTGCTTTTTAAAAAACCTAAATACTTTATAGAGATTGCCTGTTATTTACCTACACATCTATTATTACCTGTCCAGATGTTTTAGCATTCTTTAGTAGACAGCAGGCTTGCCAAGTCAGGCAGCTTTCAAAGACATGGAGACTTGGAAGAGTGAGGGGTGGATAATAAGTAATTAATGGGTACAATGTACATTATTTGGGTGACGAATTCCCTAAAAGCCCTGACTTGACCACTACACAATTTATGCATGTAACAAAATTGCACATGTACCCCATAAATGTGTACTTAAAAAAGACATACCAAGAATCATACAATGAATTAAAATGCTATGTAAAATGCAGTACATAATTGCCTTCAATGATAAATGCCTCCTTATAAGGTGATACAGAAGTTAGGATCCTTTCAGAAATTCCAACTACAACTGACTTTTAAAAGCTATAAATATATTATCTCACATAACAGAGCCTTAGGTATGATAACCTCATACCTAAGACCTTCCACAGGCAGGGCTGCAGCTCCAACTTTTGGCATTTCTCTTTGTCTTATGCCTTCAGTATATGTCAGCTTTGTTTTCAAGCTGGTTTTCTTCTTGGTTGCAGGAGGGCTGCCAGCAGCAGCTGGGACCCAACCTTCCTTATTCATGTTCGGCTGAAAGAGAAAGACTCTTTCCCCAGCGTGGAATGAAAGCCTTTCTTTTCATTTGATTGGTCCAACTTGGTCACATGCCCACCACAGCTGGACCAATGGCAGTTGGAGTCCCTTCAAGCTAAAGATGGATTCAGCTTCCCCTGAGTTCCACGGGCTGTCAGGGGAGAAATAGATGCCTGAACAGCCCTGGAATTCTGGTTGGAGGGAGGAAGAGAGGAGCAGCCACTAGGCAGGCAATCAGCAGTATTAGTTGAAGATGGCTAAAGGTAGTCTAGCTCTAAGTCCTGAAGCAAAAAACTGCCCAAAGAAGAATTTTTAAAAACGCAAATTTGACTGTGTCTATAATACTCAACAATTACATAGTACGGAATATTTAATCGCTAAAACCAATCATTTATTCATCATTTCTGTTAGTTGTATAATTGTTTATTTCCATTTTCAATAGTCCTTTCGCTTCATTAGATTTTGAACCTCTTTTTATGTCTTCTGCTTCATCACAGAGCCCCCATGGCATCTACTCCATGACTTTACATCCAGCAGGGACTAAACCATTTGACGGACTGCTAAATTCCAGCCAACTGGCTGCCTTACTGCTTGGCCTTTTGGCTAACAGCAAGCACAGCATCAGCTTAGTCAGTGTGAAGTCTTCCATCCAGGGATTCTTCCCTGTCCTGGCAGGAGGACAAACCCTACAGGCTAATTACTAAGCATGTGGTTTTTAATTAATAATGCCCATGATTAACATGGGGAAATTTTTATATAATACAGAATATTATGTAGACTGAAAAATATAACCATCTGAAAACACACTTGATTTTAGGGAATAGAGGAAGCAAATATTGAAGCAAATATCTTCAATAGTTAAAACAGAAACACACACACACATACACACACACAAACACACACACATGAGTTATGAAATTAAGATTTTCCTGGTGTAGTGAATAAACTTTAAAAGATTCCAGCATGATCTGAGACAGTTTTTATTCTGAAGGGTTGTGAAGGGCAATGAAGCCTACTGGTAAATAAGATTAATAAAAATAATAAGTTAATAAATCCTACTCACCTCTGACAATATCCTTTTATAACTGTAGTTTTAGAATACTGAATAAGCGCTGTGGAAGACTGTAATTAAAGCTTATTTCTGATAGATGAAGTTACAGGAGAGTGACAGTTGCTCAATTGTTTGCTATTGACTTAATGTGCTTGGATTGGTTCAGAGAACAAAGCCCTTGTATGTTTTTGCTGACTCAAATGAAATTTCCAGTAAAATTAAGAATTTGTATATGCTCCAGTGAATGCAGTAGTTTATATTCTCCACCTGGTTTATCTATTTTGTTATTAGTCTTTAAGAAGATGATTAAGTTGTCTGATTCAATCTTGCAATTCAGTTCTTAAAAAATAAAAATGAAAAAGGTATAAATTGTAATACCATCTGCATTCTATCTTTTGAAACACATAATGCAAAGAAAATTGTTATAAAACACTAAATATTGCAAAATAAAATGTATTCAAGCATTCTCTAAGTGTCCCTAGGTGATGTTTTCAAGTATTTAGGTTATTATTGTTCTTCCTCTCTGTTCCAACCATTTTTAGATAATAGTATTTGGTGGCTGTGCCCCAAGATGAATTTTTTAAAGTGCATTTTTTTCATCGAACCCTACTTTATTTAGCTACTGTAAACACATCCAATTTCCTTGAGTTAAATACCAATGTCCCCACATGATCTATATTAACCCTCCAATAGGAACAGAGTTAGTACAGATAATTGAAATCCAAAAAATAAGGCCTAACTTAGTGGATATTAAAAACTCCCCAAAGCCAAATCTTTTATCAGACTTGAAAAATATTAATAACATTAATAACATTAACAGTAATTTCAACTCTTATTTGCTTTGCATAAATCATTTTATTTATTCCTCATATCAACCTGGAGTATTGTCATCTCCACTTTATACATTAGCAAACAGGCTCAGAGGCTATGCTAAGCGCTCATAATTTCTCCTCATCTGTTGTATTAAACATGATCTAGTACTCTTAACTAATAAATGGCACAATCAAGGGGCGGTTGTTTGATGTACAATAACTTCTGAAGAATTAGAGACAAGTGCAATACTTCACAGTTCAATAATAGAGAAACTGAGACCAGGATGAGGAAAGCAATTTGACAGCATATGGGTTTTATCTCGTGTTACTAAATGCAGGCAGAAGAATCTGAGATTCAGTGAGACTCTGCAGCAGCTTTCTTGGCAAGGAGCATCTTTCTCTAGTCTGGCAGATCATAGTTGCTACTTTACTTAAGGAGAACAGTATTTCTTCCTGGTACTTAATGAGAATGAAATCATTCAGCACATGGATCAAATATTGAAATGTAAAATAATAATTATGAAGAAGATCATGACAATGGTTAAAACCATAAAAATACTAGAAAAATACTTATATAACCTTGAGGTATGGAATGACTTTTTAAACAAGACCTTAAAAAGAGAACCATAAAGAAACAAAACAATAACTTTGATTATATAAGAATTAAAATGGGGAGGGAGAGTTAAGATAAAAGCACCATAAACAAAGTTAAAGGGAAATAGGTTAGCATAGAAAAATATTAAGCAACAGGTCTAGACAGATGGTTAATATCCTTAATGTAGAAAGAGTTCATGCAAAACGTGCAGGGAAAAAACCAGGCATCCCTTCAACATACACATTACACAAAGAGCTTAGAACATAAACAGGCAAAAAAATAATTGTAAATGGCCAAGAAATAGAATTTTGAAATGCCCATTTTTACTTATAATAACCAAACAAATGCACTGTCTCATAAGAATATTTTGTTTATAATAATTGTATAATAAGGAAATAATGTTTAAAACTCATTTTACATGAGATTATGTCCTTTGCAGGAACATGGATGAAGCTGGAGGCCATTATCCTTAGCAAACTAACACAAGAACAGAAAACCAAATACCGCATGTTCTTCCTTATAAGTGGGAGCTACATGATGAGATGAGAACATGTGAGCACATAAAGGGGAACAACTCACACTGGGGCCTATTGGAGGGTGGAGGTGGAAGGAGGGAGAGGATCAGGAAAAATAACTAATGGGTACTAGGTTTAATACCTGGTTGATAAAATAATCTGTACAACAAAACCCCATGACACAAGTCTACCTATGTAACAAACCTGCACATGCACCCCTCTTCTCATAACTTGTCTGTGGGTTTCTGTCAACACCAATCAAACAGTTGGTTGATCGGTGTGTTTTAACAAAATATATCAACAACAAAAATAAAAGTTAAATAAAACAAACAAAAAACTTTATTCTACCTTTTTCACTTGGAGATAGAATAAACTGTTTTCATAAAGTACTTGAAGCATCAGCATGCATAATGTTGATTTAGAAATTTTACACCATAGCAATTTGAAAATACAACACATATTAATATAAACAGAGTGCCCATGTCTAAAATTATCCTTGTAAGATCTTTCTGAAATGATGTGTTCAGCTATTTCAACCTCACAAATTTCACTGGTCTGCTTTATAAATATCCTTTAACATATATCTCTTTAAAATATGCAGTAACATTGAAACCATAAAAGTGGACATTGGATGGAACCTTCAAGTGATACCATTGTCTTTCAGGGTACCTCCAAATTTAGGGTCTGTATTCAGTGTAGTGTTCATTCATGGATTTGATTATACATTGTTTTCTTTTATTACATATGAAGTTTTACATATATAGCTCATCTTTATTTAGAGTGAGTCTACCACAAAACCAAATATAAGCACTTCATGTTCCCTTTAATTCATGAAGATCACACAGGAAAAAGTGTATGGGCTTTGGAAAAGGGCTCAATTCAAATACTGGCTTTGCCATTCACAAGCTTTTTGGTCTTGGGTAAGGTATCTAAAACTCAGTTTCTTTGTGTGCAATTGGAATTATAGTATATTTTTATATAGGTTTAAAAAAGGATTCAAATTGGCACATGCTAGGCACTCACTACACAGTAGCTATTATAAATGAAGCAGGTGGAAGTTAAGGATCATTATTTATATGACTAAAGTGGATTAAACTGTATCCCCCAAAGGGATATGATAATGTTCTTATTCCTGATACTTGTGAATGTAAATTTATTTGGATACAGGATCTTTGTAGATATATTCACATTAAATGAGCTTATACTGGGTTAGATCCAGTATACTGGGCTGTAAATCCAAAGACTGGTGTCCTTATAAGAGGAGACACACAGAGGAGACACACAGAGAAGGCCATGTGAAGACAAACAGCTTAAAGTGATGTATCTACAAGCTCAAGAATGTCAAGGATTTATAGGAGCCACCAGAAGCTAGGAGAGGCAGGGAAGAATTCTTTCTTAGAGACTTCCAAGGGAGCATGGCCCTATTGACGCCTTGAGGACGTCTAGCCCTCAGAAGTGTGACAGAATAAATTTCTATTTTTTAAAGCCACTTGACTATGGCAACATCAAGAAACTAACACAATAATTTAGTCAAAATTCTCACTCGGACTTTACAATATCGTTTAAGACTACATAATAGTGATGTCAGTTAACAGGTTAAGTAAATTAGAAATTCCCTTTGAAAAGTCTCTAGTACATCACAATGGTAGGTGAACTGGGATGAGGCTAATTGCAATAATATAGGTTAAAAAAACAGCAGCTTTGCCGGTGACATCAAAATAATTCAAGCAAATCTCAAAGATTTGGGTGTTGAATTATGCACTGAATTATCTTTATTATACAGCCCCTTTTTTTTTTTTTTTTTTTTGAGACGGAGTCTCGCTCTTTCACCCAGGCTGAAGTGCAGTGGGCGCCTTCTCGGCTCACTGCAAGCTCCGCCTCCCGGGTTCACGCCATTCTCCTGCCTCAGCCTCCCGAGTAGCTGGGACTACAGGCGCCCGCCACCGCGCCCGGCTAATTTTTTTTTGTATCTTTAGTAGAGACGGGATTTCACCGTGTTAGCCAGGATGGTCTCGATCTTCTGACCTCTTGATCCGCCTGCCTCGGCCTCCCAAAGTGCTGATATTACAGGAGTGAGCCGCCGTGCCCAGCCTATTATACACCTTTTTATATGTAAATGTATACATCATTATCACATCTAGAAAGCCATCGAAAAGATGTTCAAGTTCTGACAAAGCTGTATTCTAAGAACTGATCTTATCTTTAAAATAAAGACTAATGGAAAGAAAGAATTACAACTAAGAAAAGTCAACCCCTAAAATGTCAAATGATGCTGACAGAAACTAGCAAAAACGGAAAAAAAGGAAATTGACATTACAGATTCCACTTTAATAGACTTCAAAGTTTCTTTTAATAAAGCAAAATTAGAATATTCTATTCCTTTACTTATGCAATTATGTCTATGCAGCTCCATCTTATTCTGGGATGTTTCTCCCCTACTAAAAGCCAAAATTTTGAAAGTTCGGATATTTTAGAGTAATTTTGGCAATCAATTTCTTGTTTTTAAAAAAATCCTTTAAAGGTAACTCTCTCAAAAAAGATAATCTTTGAGTCCCAGACTAATTAAGTGTCCTGCTGAGTTTAAGCAGCAACAGTTTGGACTTTAGGAAAATGTTAATACCAGCACTAAAATTTATTCTGTTAATTGCTCTAATAATCAATAAGTAATTTTCATTCTAAACTATGTTCTTTATGTGACTTAAATAAATGAACTGAAGATCATTTACATTTCAATAACAATTCCTAATAATGTCACATTATTAAATTCCACCCTGGTTCTCAATAACATTGGTTAGAGACCAATAAAGGGACTTATTACCTTGGTCATGTCCTCAGGGGCACAGAGTGAACCAGTGGGTGAAAGATTTTAATGTTGCACAACGTTTCTGAGTGAGCCTTTCTTCTCTTTGAACTTTTGCCACAGTTTAGTTACCGACTAGCTTTTTTCTTTCCTCCTCTCTGCTTCCTTCCCTCCCTTCCTTTCTCTTTTCTCCTCCTCTCCTTTTTCTCTCTTCTGTTTCTCTAAAATAGTTTTGATCCTAGTACTGGCAGAAGATTTATAAAGGGAAGAAACTTCTGCATCTTAATTTTATGGCGAATGATTAATAGAAAAAGCAAAACAGTTTAAGAAAATCTCTGTAGAGTGAATTCAAGGTTCTTTACACTGAAAAATTTGGTAATTACTTATATATGTAGATTTATATATGTATATATGAGATAGATATATATATATCCTATTTAAACATTATTTCTAAGATAAATATTTTGGACCTATATTTCTAGGTTGGTTATTTACATTGACCAAATTCAATCACTTACTTCTTCATGTTGTGCTGTGTTGTTGCAGTGAAGTAGAATCCACGGTGTATTAGTGAAAAGTGTTTCTATAGCTAAATTGTGTATAACTAAAATAATGAAAATCATTACCATTTTTAAATACATTCTTAACAATGCTTTTGTGATACCAACACACTTGCTGATGATATTGAAATTTTTCTGTTAATTAAACAACCCCTAACCACTCGGTACATTTCGGATATGTACACTTCGTAATTACCTCCATTATTGAAATGGTTGGCTTGATTTATCCATATCACAGTAACACTGTAGCTTCTGTTACTTTTGTCTTTAGAAAAACATAGGTCCCAGCGAGGGAATATAAAACTATTACTGTAAATTAAATATTAAAGCTAACTTATTCTTGCATAAGAATGCTGTCAAATAATGCTGATAACTGTTGCTAAGATAGAAACCATTTTTTGGCTTTTTTTTGGAAGCACAAATTAAAATCCAATTTTTAGTTCTTTTGGTAAATTGCATGTAGTTAGTGTGTGTGGTTTTACTGATGGTAGTAGCTTAAGGGGGAGCTATTATAGTCTTAGTTTAGCGATTAAGAAATACAACATTTGTTGAAGGACTAAGGCCTTTTAGTCTAGAATGGATTAGCACTTGATCCTTCCTTAAGCATTTTTATACAGGAGTGCATTATCCTTGGAGCCACCCTGGGCTCCATGCCTCATTAGCTTGGGTGTTAGATAAATCAAAGGCAACCTCTGAGACAAAGATAAGCAAACTGCAGGCCAGCAAGATGATGATGTATGGATCCAGGAGGCTAATAGGAAAGTATTGACAGGAAAATGGTGTGCTTATCCTGCAATCACTGCATATTGCAATGAGAGCTCCCAAAAGCAGATGGGATACACTTCAGGGAATGTACAACTACAAGACTGTTAGGCAGAAATGGATCCTTGTGTTTTAAATTCTAACAAGAACTCGGTTTCTTTCTAGCAGCACTTCAAATGCATCAAAATATGTAATGGCACAGACCACGGCAAACTCTAAAAAAGAATCTCATTTTAGAAAACGGAGCATCGGAATTATTTTCAGTCCAGAATATTCTTTTTCTCACCAATATAATCTTTACAAAGCAAAAAATAAACAGTCATGCATGCCTTCCATGATTATAACCATCCTATCTGTCTTTAATACATGATAAAGTTTGCTACCATTATATCTGTTTTATCAGTCTTTAATATATTAAGAAGTTTGCTTCTTGATACTTCTACAGGATTCAAAATGAACACCATAGGAGCAAATTTTAATGTGGAAAAATGCACACATACACAAACACACACACATATTAGACATGTTTTGAAGCTAAATAACATTTTTTGGTTCTCATCCATGATCAATCTCTTTATTTATTTATAATAAATTAGACTTTGAGGATTCTGTCCAGGATTTTAGGCTTATTCTTCTACTTTTGGGGGGGTATTTTTTTTCTTTTGGAGATTATGCATTTTGTACATTTCTTAAGCCAATTCAGCCATTTGTAAAATCTAAAATTTTAGCATAAAACTGATAATACTATGATGATCCTACCCACTCAGATCGCACATTCAGAAAAACATTCATTAATACTCATTTGACCTATGCCTATTGGGGTACTGCTGAGGGTTGAAGGTTAACTAACAGAATTGATTATTCAAATCATGATGTACTCCTTCAATCACCTCTTTCCTGGCTCAAAATAGGACTCCCTGATTTCCTATAAATAATGGACAGTCAACTGTTCTGAAATGAGAGCAGCTATGAGCCCTCTGGTTCACTTCCTTTATTTCTGGGACCATGCATGGAAACTAAATATATTTATCCAGATGATGACCCAGGAGTTAGGAGAGTTCTGCAGCCCCATAAAGGCCTGGGTATTTCTTCACAGAGGATACATTCTAACTCATGCCCTCCTGTTGTGAAGGAGGTGGGTCTGCTTTGGACTCAGGTCACTATATTACAATGATAAGTGAGGGTCCTCCTGCAGTCAGGAAATAAGCAAGAATCTCCCAGATAGGCTTCAAGAAGAAATCACAGGAGAAATATGGTTATGGTTCCAATCAAATACTTTCTCCAAATTTGGGTATAGGTCCAAAATACTTCTCTTATAAATAATGTTCAAATAGGATATATATTATATATTTTTATATATTATATATTTTTACAATATTATATATTTTAATATATTTTAATATATTTTATATTAATATATTATATATTTATATATTATGTATAAATTATATATAAATACATAAATATATATTTATATTTATATATTATTTTATAATATTCAAATAGGATATATATAATATATAAATTTATACACTCTATTTGAACATTATAAGAGAAGTATTTTGGTTCTATATATATAAAATATATATATAATTATGTATGGTAGATTTATATATATATGAATTTATAAATCTACATAGATAAATAATTCCCAAGTATCTACTCTTCCTATTCATGATTACAGTTCCTGAAAATTAGGAACCACAATTTATTGTAATTGATATATTAATTTTACGGTTGCTGGAATGCTCTGTTGTTATTATCTAAAAATCTAAGATTTTCCTATGTTTGAGCCACTAGGGTACTTCATCTCATATACTACACACATGAATTTAGTATAACTCTTACTAATGGAACACGTAGCATACTTTAATTCATTATAACATTTTATGTAGATTTCTGAATGCCTTGTTCAAAGGCAAATAGAGAAACAGGAAGATTTTTGTAGTTTAATTGCATTTGAGGGGAAGGAGCAAAAAATCGATGAAACTCTATTGCTAAGTCTACATTTTAAAGATTAGAAAAGGAGATCTCCTTTACCCTCAAATGAAACTGCTTGCAAAGCCCAAACAATTAGCAATTGGCAAAGCAGAACTAGATTCTTAAGTTTGCTGACAATTAGTTTGATGTCTCTAATATGCTGCCACTTTAATAAGCATAGAATTTAGGGGTGGGAAGGAATATTACTATACTAAAGTTACTAAAAGTGAAAAAGCAGCAAGTAAATTTTTTTTTCTTTTTTTGAGACAGAGTCTCTCTGTGTCGCCCAGGCTGGAGTGCAGAGGCGCAATCTCGGCTCACTGTAACCTCCGCCTCCCGGGTTCAAGCGATTCTCCTGCCTCAGTCTCCAGCGTAGCAGGGACTACAGGCGCGTGCCACCAGGCCCGGCTAATTTTTTGTATTTTTAGTAGAGACAGGGTTTCACTGTGTTAGCCAGGATGGTCTCTATCTCCTGACCTCGTGATCTGCCCATCTTGGCCTCCCAAAGTGCTGGGATTACAGGCGTGAGTCACCACGTCCGGTCAGAAGCAAGTAAATTTTTTAAAAATAAAACTGAATGAAAATGAAAACATAGCTCTCTCAGGCCACTAGCTATCTCTAATACAATTTCACCATTGCAAAGAAAATACCGTTCCTACTACGGTCCAAGTGACTGGTTAGACAGGAAGCTCATCACGCTGTGCCACTCAGGCCTGACACTTAGGAGATGCTCCTGGTTTGACAGAATAGAAACTGTGTTCTGCCTATTTGGCCCAGCTGGAATTAATTGTTCTACTTAGTACTTGCTTCCACCTTTCTTCCTTTTTCTCCCAAAACTTCTGACTTAAAACTTTTTCTAACAACCATTAAAGCTATTATTTTGAAAACTGTGAAGGAGATTATAAAATTTTTCTGAATAAAAATGATTTAAACAAATCACCTCATCAATTGGGCCAATACAATTGCTATAAAAATATAAAAGAAAATAGTCAATTGGTTTACCTCCCTCTAAATCATTATTCCTGAAAGTTGTGGAGTATTTTAAGCTCATGGAAATAGTTGGGTCATATATTTTCATTTCTGCTTTTAAAGTTTTGCTGCTCTTGGCTAGAAGGATGTTCTCTCTTTCTTTTTTTCTCTCCTTATCTGTCTCAGAAAGGAAGGAACAGTCAAGGGGAGCCACGCTAGTTAGGTTACTCTTTTTTAAAAAAATGAAGATCTATTTGATAAATCAATGAAATTGTAATTTTAAGAATAATATATAATGCATTGCAAGTAAGGATTTTAAAACTATAGTTAATTATGTCACCTGTTATATCTCAGGAGTTACCTCCAGCATTATTTTTTAAATTATAACCAGCCAACCAGCCACTTACTAGAACTCGAGCCTGCAGTGTTGTTCCTCAAAGAGGATGCCCTTCACCCCTGAGCTGAGCTCCTTAGGAAGCTGCAAGGAAATCAAACATCCAAATGAAGTATATCCAGACCCATTTTGCAAAGGACGCTACCTCAACCTGCTACCTAATCATGCCTTCCACCTGCAATTTGTGCTCATGGTAGCTATTATTTATTTTATTTCTCCTTCCAAAAACCAACCCTGGAAACCCTCAGCTGGCAAATGTGCCCTCTTCATCATGTTCTGCCTTTGTTCTGCGGGTCCAGGCTGCTTTCTCGGCATTGCCCATTAGCCCAGGGAACATTGTGATTAATGCGCCCGCTCCCTGCCCCAGCCAACAGGCCCGTCCTGTGGCTGCTCTCTGAACAGTCACCGGTGTCCCTGTGCCTTGAACTGCCTTCCCTTTATCTGCCCGCCGCGGGCCTGCAGCTGGGCCTCCCTGTGGCCTGACCGACTGCCTCCTGCACCCCGGGACTCAGGAAGGGTGCGTTCATTACTCATCTGTGACAATAGCCCATCGAGTAAGATGTAGAACTCAATTCCAGCAGAAAGACCTATAATGCTGGAGTCAGGAGGTTATCGCTGAGGGACCTGCACCTTGCTCCTCGCCTCTCTTATCGAGAGCTTTACAGGCTCTGCTGGGGCCAGCAACTTGTAAAGCTGAGGGCGGCAGATTTGGCCTCAGATTAACATACATCTTCCTAAGTGGTACTACATTTAATTAAAAAGTAAACCTTAGTTTTTTTTTTGTTGTTGTTGTTACTGTAGTATGGGAAAACAGGAGATGTGGATTACAAAATCTGGGCTGACAGTGGACAGGAAAAGAAAGCAGATCCCTGAACACTTCTGTCCCTGGCTGTCTGTAACCCCCTTTCCTCCCAGTGGAGGCAAATTACTCATTAGTGCCTAGGAATCCTCTCCCTGAGTCTGGCAAAGCTTGTTCCAGCACTGACACCATCGAAGGATCCCAGACCACACCTGGTGCTTAGCCCTGGAATATGCTTTGCTGCTATGTAGTCAAATCCATCTCCCCCATTCTGGCCTTTTATGTTTTCCTTTGAGGGCCTGTGTGTTCAAGCTAGTGACCAAAGTTTTGATGTGTGCATCATCCAATGGAGCATTTACTACCTCCTGGAAGTGCTGATTTGATGACAGTTAGAAAACTTAAAGAGCCAAAGTGCAAGAGGTAGAATCAGAATAGAGAAAGGGGCATCCCTGGAATATGCCTTTTTATCATTTTATCATCTTCTAGAACCATTTACATAACAATATTAAGGTAAAATATAAGTGTTAGAATCACTTCAACTTCATTAAACAGGTATTCATCAAATTGCAATAATTAACCAGACATCAGAGAAGATTTGTTATACTTGATAAGAAAATTCAGGTCACGATCACAGTATCATTGAAAACCACTCATGCAATGAAATACTATAATCTTAAAATATTTTTCAGTGATTTCAAAAGGCTTGTTAATCAACAGATAATATTATAAAACCAAATGTTGGAATATTGGAGGATATGAGGAAATAAGAGAAATTTTAATTAGAAATAGTTTAAGATAGAGTATAACCAGCAAAAAATATAAACAGTATATTCTTTCGTATTAGTGTAATAGTAGTTGTGTATATCTTTTCTAAAAACTTTGTAATGTCATCATCCTTCTGTAATTTCACAAGGGCTTAACTTATACTTTCAGCATATTCGCCTCTTTTCTAAACAATACAATCTTCTACAGCTTTGCCATTTTCTGGTTCTGTACTTTATGCTACTTCACTAACTGCTCAGCTTCTACCATTCCCACCATGCCAAGCATGTGTCACTTTCGTTAGAAATATTCCAAAATATATGCCTGATGTCACCATCCTCCATGCCTCTCCCTGTGAAAAAGAGTACTCTGGAACTTATACAGATGTTTGTTTAGGAGGTAGAGATACATCCTAAATCAGCACCTCCACAGAGTTCCACAAACCTTAGTTCTTTGAAGTATCTATTGTTATTATTATTTTTTTAATTGTAGTTGCTATTTGGGAAAAGTCTTGAGTTTAAAAAATCTCAACAAGTCTTCTTAGAACCTGCAAATGTTACCATACACTGCAGTACTCTTAAGATGCAAAAGCATTACTTATTTCTCAAATATATTTGACTACAGCATTCTTTTTAGGTAGCGCCTGTGAGGGGTAGCTTCCCATAGAAGAATACACTTGGAGAAGCCCATACCCTCACTTTTTCTCAATAGCATATGAGGAGATTTGCTTATATTGCAACTTCCTGTAGAGAGTCATGTGATAGGAGGCAGAATTATACAATGAAGAGAAAATTCAAAAAATATGTGAAACTCTCAGTACACTTCATGGACTGTGGAAGATGGTGTTAGGTATTATTACTCTAAAAAGCCACCTTCTCTTTGATGCCTTTTGCACCACCCCAGGCAGAGTGTTACTTCCCTCAAGCTTCCCTAGCAGTAAGCACCTATCTCTAGCAGAGCATCCACTACATCACTTTAAGCACTGTACATAAATGTCTCTCCACTTGCTTCTTAGCAGAGGGCCAATGTCTAATTCATTCTTCCATCTCCATTTCCTAGTATTGCATTGGGCACACAGTTGGGATTCAGAGATGTTTGTTGAGAGAATCAATCAGCCCGTGACAAAAATTTTGTATTTGCATAGTAAAATATAACACATTTTAAAAATGATAACAGATTCAAGACTTGCGCTCTATAACTTCCAAAATATCCAGGGCAACTCCTCAGCAATATTACAGCAAAAACAGTATCAATAACTGCATCCACTGTGCATCAGGGTAATTTTTCTGCCAGGCATTGTGTGTTTATATATATTATCCTCCCAATCTTTGTAACAGCTCTTGAGGTAGATAATATTATCTCCACTAGATAAATGAGGGAACTGAGGCTGGCAGGGCTAAGTAACCTACCCACAGTCATGCAGAGGGTACAAGGTGGAGCAGAGGGATTTGAATCCAGGCTGGTGGGAGTCCATCCTCATATATTAGCTATTCCACCCTACCGATGAGGAAATGAAATATGTATTGTAAGAGAGCACAGTGCCGTGCGATTCTTTTTTATTATTCTTATACTTTAAGTTCTGGGATACATGTGCAGAATGTGCAGGTTTGTTACATAGGTATACACGTGCCATGGTGATTTGCTGCTCCTTGCTTAGATAGATATGCACTAGCTGGAAAACAAACAAACAAACAACAACAACAACAAAAACCACCACTCACTTGACCTTACTAGTCTCATCCTGTAAGAGACAGTGGAGCATAGTACAAAGTCACCAAATTTTAGTGGCAGATGCTTTGTTTTTGCAAGACCAATTTACTCAGTTTCTCTGAGTAATTTGAGTAAGTAATGTAATGCCCATTATAATAAAGAAAACTAGGAGGTTTCATTATTATGTTTTATAATAATAAAACTAGGAGTTTTATTACAATGGATATTACAATACTTAACTGTTTTGTCAGTTACATGTAAAAAGTCAAGTACAATACCTAGTAGATACTCAAAACATCAAGTGTTTGATATGATATGATTATGATGTATTTTCCTCCTTCCTTTCAGAGTTGTACCTTCCAAAGAAACAGAGCCTTTTGATATTTCCTCCCTACTCACTTTGCAATCCCTTTTGTTCAACTTCTGACACTGTCTACCTAAATCTGCACTCTCAACTTCTATCACTTACCTTCTAGTTCTAAAATACAATGCTCTTGTCTCAATTTTTACTTTCATGTCTTCTATATTACTTACAACTGTTTTAAGAATAATGTTTACTGAGTATATTTTCATTTAAAAAGCAACTCCTATTCTGTATATAAAAGTTTAAAATTACAAGAAAAATGTAAAGAATAAAATCATTTACTGCTCATTATTTTAAAAATAAAGCTATTAATTTTTTGGTTTTCTTTAATATACCTTTAATTATATATACACACACATGCACACACACATACACATATATAAATTTGGGATAACATTATGGAAAGTTTGAATCCATGTATATTTACTTAACAACATAGGCATTAACCTATGTATTTAAATTTCATTTTAAACCAATATTTAACAGCTATGGAATATATCATAACTTATCTGACTCTTCCAATTTTGTTTAGAATGCAAGTGTTAAAATACACATTCTTGAGTAGGAATCTTTTACTATTTTACCATGAAATATAGTTCTTGAATTAAAAGAATATTAATATTTTCAGATTCTTGATACATGCTATTAAGTTGCTTTCCAGAACACCTAAGCCTATGTTTTCCAATGTGATAGTTTCCAATGTGATAGCCACATGTGACTATTTAAGTGTAAATTTAAATTTATTAGACTCGGCCAGGCTTGGTGGCTCATACCTGTAATCCTAGCACTTTGGGAGGCTAAGCTGGGCAGATCGCTTGAACCCAGGAGTTTGAGACCAACCTGGCCAACATGGCAAAACCTCATCTCTACTAAAAATACAAAAATTAGCTGGGCATGGTGGCACTTGCCTGTAGTCTCAGGTACTTGGGAGGCTGACATGGGAGGATCGCTTGAGCCTGGGAGGTGGAGGGTGCAGTGAGCGGAGATTGCACTATTGCACTCCAGCCTGGGTAACAGAGCCAGACTCTGTCTCAAAATAAATAAATAAATTTATTAGACTTATAAAAGTTACAAATTCAGCTCTGCAGTGACACTAGCTATATATCAAGTGTTTGATAACCATAGATATAGAACTCTTAATCATTGCAGAGACTTATATTGAACAATGATGAGGCAAGAATGATCCAGAAGGAAAATGGAACCATTTGCATTTCTGCTTGATCCTGCAAAAGGGAGCAGATCAAAACTGGTGACCTTCTCAAGCTATGCAGATTGAATAGCTGTGTAGCAGAAAAGAGGCAAGATATGAAAAGTTCAACTTATATTTAACACAAAATTCAATTGTATTTATGTTTACTGATTTTTCCCAGGGCAGAAAGACTATTTAGCCCATGTAATAATACATGTATGTTAGTACATTAGTACATGTATTAGTACTAATTACTAATTAGAACTAATGTAATAATGCACTAACCAATGTACTAATATATGTACCATGTACGTTATAACCCATGTACCAATACATAAGTTAAATAGTCTCTCTCCTCCTAAAAAGTACTTATGTTGCTAAAGGCTTGTTTTAAACTCTCAGAGTCAATATTTTTTAATCTTGCTAGGGTCTTGGACTCTGGACTAGTGTCCATCAAGGCCCACTGTGGGGGAAAAAAAGAAGAAGCATTAGGAGGCTTTTGTAAGAGAGGAACCAGAAGTGGGTAGAAACCCCAAAGAAATTGTAAGAAGAAAGAAAGGGCCAGCCAAGAAGGCATTCACTTGCTTTGAAGTTTCAAATGCTTAAGTAAGGCCCCATCTTGCAGCATGGTCTGAGAGTATGTATATTTCAGTGAAGTACCAGGAGAAGCACCACTAAGGAGCTTCATTTCTCAGACAACATGCTAAAGTGTAATAGTGTTCCATAGCTCAAGAACCCAGCTGTTTCTCCAGTTGACTTAGTGGTTCTTATCTTAAAAGAATTGTAGATGGAATTCAGTGTGCTTGGCAGAAAAATAAATAAAAATCTTACTCAGACAGTTGATAAGGTATATTAGACTAGTTGAAACTCCCACTTTGCCTCATCTATAAAAATAGTGAAACAAACAACATATAGAACAACGAAACAAACATAATGAAGTAAAACATTATTTTAAGGTGCAGGTCAAGATCTAAGCCCACTGAGACTTAAATAATCTAGTCTACTGAGCCATCTCTCTCTTTTTGTCCCAGGGCCTTTTATTGCATAACACTAGCCCCATCAATAGGAGCTCACAGTCTAGATTAGAAATATTTTAATTCATAAACACCCATGGTGAACACTTATATATTTAAAATATATGAGGCTGGGCATGGTGGCTTATGCCTGTAATCCTAGCACTCTGGGAGGCCAAGGCTGGCGGGTTGCCTGAGCTCAGGAGTTCAAGACCAGCCTGGCAAACATGGAAAAACCCTGTCTCTATGACAAATACAAAAAATTAGCTGGGCATAGTGGCGCACACCTGTAGTCCCAGCTACTCGGGAGGCTGAGGCATGAGAATCACTTGAACCTGGGAGGCGGAGGTTGCAGTGAGCCAAGATTGTGCCACTACACTCCAGCCTGGATGACAGAGTGAGACTTTTTCTCAAAAAAATAATAAATAAATAAATACATAAAGGATATGAAAGAGAAAAAGATTATTAAATTAACCTTTAATACCTCTAACACTTCTTGATTTTTGTTTTTCCAGTTTATTTCATGAGGAGTTCAGCTTATTTACTCTCATTTAAACCACTTTGTCCCTGAAAATTTAATTAAGAAAGAATGATACTTATATGCTGATTTTCATTATGGTCAGTTGAGGAATACACCTATTTTTTACAAGCACATGTAACCCAAATGTCAAAGTGTCAAATATGAATACGCTTAGTTAAAAAACTTAATTTAAAAAGTTTGAAAAGTTCTATTATGTTGGCATGCTTAAATATTGATATGTTAATATGCATTCTTTCATCAGCATTTAAAAATTATAGAAAATATAGAAGATGTCTGTGTATGCTGAGATAACTCATCTCAAATTTATATGAATATGTCAGAAAAGACTGTTTTCAAAATAAACTGGGGAGTTATAACAAATACAACTGAGATTTTTTTAAAAAACAGAGTTTACTCAAAGAAATAATAGCAGAAAACTTTCCAATCCTGAAGACAGATACAAATATCTAGGTGCAGGCAAGCCAAAAGTCTCCATCAAATTCAATCCAAATAAGACTATCCTGTGACATAATCAAACTGTTGAAAATTAAGGATCGGCAATACAGAAAAAGCCAATAATATGTAAGGAAGTTCCAAAATGCCTAGCAGCAGACTTCTCAGCAGAAATCTTATAGACCAAGAGATAGTGGGATGATATATTCAAAGTGGTGAGAAGAAAAAACAAAACATAGCAAAACTCTCCTTCAGAAATGAAGGCAAGATAAACACTTTCCTAGACAAACAAAAATTGAGGGAGTTCATCTACAATAGACCTATCTTATAATAAATGCTTAAGAGAATTCTTCATGGTAAAAGAAAGGCGTGCTAATGAGTAACATACAAATATATGAAAGTATAAAACTCACTAGTAAAAGTAAGTAGACAGTCAAATTCAGAAAACTCTAGTACTGTAATGGTGATATGTAAATCACTTATACCTTTAGTATAAACATTAAAAGACAAAATTGTTTAATTAATAACTGCAGGTATATGCAATATAAAAAATATTAATTGTAACATCAAAAATTCCAAATGGAAGGAGTCAAGTAAACTGTAGAGTGCTTCTTATGGTGATCAAAATGAAGTTGTTATCAGCCTAAAATACACTGCTATAACAGTAAGTTGTTCTTTTAAGCCTCATAGTAACCACAAAGTAAAAACCAATAGTAGATACACCAAAAGTAAAAATCAAGGAATTGAAACATACCACTGAGAAAATCACTTAACAACAAAGAAAGACAGCAAAAGAGGAAGAAACTAAAATATACAAAACAACTAGAAAGAATTAGCAAAATGGCAGTAGTAAATCCTTACCTATCAGCAATTACCTCAAATGTAAGTGGATTAAATTCTCCAATCAAGAGACATATAGTGGCTGAATGAATAAAAAAAAAAAAGACCCAACTACATGCTGCCTACAAGGAACTCACTAACCTGTAAGGACACACATAGTCTTGAGAGTGAAGAGAGAGCAAAAGATATTGCATTCAAATTGAAACAAAAAGAGCAGGAATAGCTATACTTATATTAGGTGAAAAAAACTTTAAATCAAAAATTGTAAAAAGAGACAGAGAAGGTCATTCTGTAATAATCAACAAGTCAATCCACCGAAATAATATAAAAATTATAAATATATATTCACCTAAGATTAGAGCACCAAAGTATATAAAGCAAATATTAATAAATTTGAAGGGAAAAATAGACTGAGATATAATAATAGTAGGGGGCTTCAACACCACACTTTCAGCAATGGACACATCATCCAGACAGAAAATCAATTTTTAAAAACCCTCAAAATTAGACTACATGTTAGACCAAAAGGACCAAATAGACATTTACAGAACATTCTGTCCAATAGCTATAGAATACACCTTCTTCTCAAGTGCATATGGAGCTTTCTCTGTGATAGATGATGTGTTAGGCCACAAAACAAGTCTTAACAAATGTAAGAATATTGAAATCATATCAAGTATCCTTTCTGACCAAAATGGTAGAAAACTAGAAATCAATAATTTCTACGAACTTCAGAAAATTTACGAAATACGTAAAAGTTAAGCATCCTGCTCTTGAACAACCAATAGGCTAATCAAGAAATTAAATCAAAATTTTAAAAGTATCTTGAGACAAAGGAAAATAAAACACAACTTACCAAAACTTATAAGAACTGCAGCAACAGCAGTTCAAGAAGGAAGTTTCTAGCAATAAATGCTTACATCAAAAAAGAAGAAAAATGCAAATGAGTAATCTACTGTTGCATCTCAAAAAACTAGAAAGAGCAAAATAACTCCAAAATTAGTAGAAGAAAGGAAATAATAAGGATCAGAGCAGATAAATGAAATTCAGACTAATAAAAAATCCAAAAGATCAATGAAACAAATGGTTGTTTTTTTAGAAAAGATAAACAAAATTAACAAGCCTTTATCTAGATTGACTAAGAAAAAAAGAGAGAAGAGCAAATAAAACAAAAAATGAAAAGGGAGTTATTGCAACTGATACCACAGAAATACGAAGGATCATAAGAGACTGTTATGAATAATTATATACCAACATATTAGTGAACAAATTATTTGACACATGCAACCTACCAAGATTAAATTATAAATAGAAAATTCAAACAGACCAATAAATGAGCAAGGAGTTTGAATCAGTAATAAAATGTCACCCATTAAAGCACAGGACCAAATGGCTTGATAGCTAATTTCTAAATTTAGCCAATTCATACCTAAATTATAAATCCATTTAAAGAAAAACTAACGCAAATTCTTCTAAAATTCTCCTCAAAAAATTTAAGAAGGAATACTCTAAATTTAACTTCATGAGATTAGCATTACCTTGATATCAAAGCCAGGAAAGGACATTACATAAAAAGAAAACTATAGAAAAAATATCACTAATGAACATAGATTCACAAATCCTCAACAAAATACTAGTAAACCAAATTCAACAGCACATTAGAAAAATCATTCGCCATGATCAAGTGAGATTTATCTCAAGAATGTATGAATGGTCCAACCTATGCTGATTAATAAACATGATACATCACATTAACAGAATGAAGAAAAAAACATAATTGTTTCAAGAGATGTAGGAAGAGCATTTGACAAACTTTAACATCATCTCATGAAAAAAAGCTCTCAACAAATTAGGTATAGAAGAAATGTGCCTTGACACAATAAAGACGATATATTGGCAATCTCACAGCTAATGTAATATTTAATGGGGAAAATTGAAAGCTTGTCCTCTAAGATCAGGAATAAGATAAGGATGCCTACTCTTGCCACTTCTATTCAACATTGTACTGAAAGTCCTAGCCAGACCAATTAAGCAAGATAAAAAATAAAAGGCATCCAAATTGTAAAGGAATAAATTGTCCCAGTTTTCAGGGATCTTATATATAGAAAACCCTAAACACTCCATGAAAAAACTATGAGAACTAATAAATGAATTCAGTCAAGTTGGGGGATACAAAGTCAATATAAAAATATCAGTAGAGGTTCTATACACTAACTTCAAACTATCTGAAAAAGAAATCAAGAAAACACTAATTCTATTTATAATATGTAAAAAGATAAAACTCTTCAGAATAAATTTGGCCAAGGAGGTGAAACATTTCTATACTAAAATCTATAAAAGAGAAGACTTAAGAAAAGAAATGGAAAAAGACTCAAATATCTTAATTGTATTGCTTGAAAACCAGCAATGCCAAGTTATATTTCTCAATAAATAAAATTATCTCTAAAAAAAAAAAGAAAAAAGAAAAAGACTCAAATAAATGAAAAGATACCTCATGCTTATGGATTGAAGAATTAATATTGTTTAAGTTTCCATACTACCCACAGAGATCTACAGATTCAATGCAATCCCTATGAAAATATCAAAGACATTCATTATAGAAAGATAACAATCTTAAAATTCATATGGAACCACAAAAGACCCTGAATAGCCAATGCAGTCTTCTTTTGTATTTTTTAATTGATATATCATAGTTATGCATAGTTTGGGGGTACATGTGACATTTTTATACATGTGTACAATGTGTAATAAAATCAGGGTAATTAGGATAGCCATCACCTCCGACATTTATCTTTTGCTGTGTTGGGAATGTTAAAATTCTTATCTTTTAAACTATATAATAAATTATTATTAACTATAATTTCCCTACTATACCGTTGAGGCCTGAAATTGATCCCTTCTATCTGACAGTATTTTCATGCCCGTTAACCAACTTCACTTCATTCCCTCCTTTTCGCTTCTCTCCTCAGACTCTGGTAGCCGCTATTCTACTCTCTACCTCCAGGAGGCCATGGTGTTTAGCTCCCACATATGAATGAGAACATGTGATATTTGTCTTTCTGTGCCTGGTTTATTTCACTTAACATAATATCCTCCAGGTTTATCTATTTTCCTTCTTTTTAAACACTGAATATTATTCCATTGTGTATATATACCACTTTTTCTTTCTTTATCCAGTAATCCCTTGATGGACAGTTAAGTTGATTCCATATCTTGGCTACTGTGAATAGTGCTGCAATAAACATAGGAATGCATATATCTCTTCAGCACACTGATTTAATTTTCTCTGGATATATACCAGTAGTGGAATTGCTGGATCGTATGATACCTCTGTATTTAGTTTTTTCAGAAAACCCCATACTGTTTTCTATAATGTACCACTTTACATTTCCACCAACGGTCTGTGAGCATTCCTCTTTCTCCACATCCTCATCGGCTTTTGTTATTTTTTCATTTTTTGATAATAGCTATTCTAACTGGGGTGAGGTGATATCTCATTATAATGGTGATTTGCACATCTCTTATGGTTAGTGATATTGAGGATATTTTCATATGCCTTTTGGCCATTTGTATGTCTTCTTTTGAGAAATGTCTATTCAGGTCTTTTGCTCATTTTAAAAATCAGATTATTTGTTTTTTGGCCATTGGGTTGAGTTCCTTATATATTATGGTTATTAATTCCCTGCTGAATGAAGAGTTTGCAAATATTTTCTTCCATCTGTAGGTTGTCTCTTTACTTTAATTGTTGCCTTTGTTGGGCAGAAGCTTGTTATCTTGATATAATTCCATTTGCCTATTTTTGCGTTTGTTGCCTATGTTTTTGAGGTCTTATCCCAAAAATCTTTGCCTGGACCAATGTCCTGCTACACTTTCCAATATTTTATTCTATTAGATTCATAGCTTTGGGTCCTATATTTACATCTTTAATCAATTTTGAGTTCATTTGATTGATTTTTGTACATGGTGAAAGATGAAAATCTAGTTTCATTCTTCTTCATGTGGATATCCAGTTTTCCCAGAAGCATTTATTAAAGAGACTTCTTTCCCCAATGTATGTTCTTGGCACCTTTATTGAAAATGAGTTGGCTATAAATGCATGGACTTATTTCTGAGTCCTCTATTCTGTTTCATTGGCCTATGTGTCTCTTTTTACACCAATATCATGCTGTTTGGGTTGCTATACCTTTATAGTATAATTTGAAATCAGGTGGTGTGATGCCTCTAGTATTGTTCTTTTTGCTCAGTATTGCTTTGTCTTTATGAGGTCTTCAGTGGTTCCATACAAATGTTATGATTGTTTTTTCTATTCTGTAAGAAATATCATTGATATTTTGACAGAAATTGCATTGAATCTGTGTATTTCTTTGGGTGTACAGAAATATACCCAAATACATTTTAACAATATTAGCAATATTAATTCTTCTAATCAATGACATTTTAACAATATTAATTTTTCTAATCCATGAGTGTGAAATATATTTCCATTTTTGTGTCCTTTTCAATTTTTTTTCCTCAGTATTTTATAGCTTTCCTTGTATAGATCTTTTACTTCTTTGGTTAAATTGATTCCTAGGTTGTTGTTTTATGTAGCTATTGCAGTGGAATTGCTTTCTTGATTTCCTTTTCAGATTAAGCACTTAACTGACAGAGATGCTCCTAATTTTTGTATTTTGATTTTGCATTGTACAATTTTACTAAATTTATCAGTTCTAAGATCATTTTTGGTGGAGTCTTTACGTTTTGTCTAAATATAAGATCATGTCAATTGCAAACAAAAATAATTTGACTTATTAATTTTCTATTTGGATGCCCTTTTTCTCTTGCCTAATTGGTCTGGTTAGGATTTCCAGTACTATGTTGAATACAAGTGTGAAAGTGGGCATCTTTGACTTGTTCCAGATCTTAGTTAAAAGGCTTTCAACTTTTCCCCATTCAGTATGATATTAGCTGTGGGCTTGTCATATATGGTCTTTATTATGTTGAGGTATATTCCTTCTATACCCAGTTTGTTGAGGGTTTTTTTTTTTTATCATGAAGCAATGTTGACTTTTACTGAATGTTTTTTCAGCATCTATTGAAATGACCATATGGTTTTGTCCTTGATATCTTTGATGTGATGTATCATGTTTATTGATTTGCATGAATTGAACCATCCTTACATCCGTGAGATGAATCTCACTTGATCATGACAAATGATCTTTTTAATGTGTTGTTGAATTCTGTTTGATAGTGCTTTTTTGAGAATTTGTACATCCATGTTCATCAGATATATTGGCTAGTAATTTTTTTTATCATGACTTTGTCTGGTTTTGGTATCAGGATAATGCCAGCCTTGTAGAATTAGTTTGGAGGCATTCTCTCTTCTTCCATTTCTTGAAATACTTTGAGTAGTATGGCTTTAGTTCTTTAAGTATTTGGTAGAATTCAGCAGTGACTCCATCAGGTCCAGTACCTTTCCTTGATGGGAGATTTTATTTCTGATTCAATCTTATTACTCATAATTGGTCTGTTCACGTTTTCTATTTCCTCGTGGTACAATCTTGGTGGGTTGTATGTATCCAGGAATTTATTCATTTCTTCTAGGTTTTCCAACTTGTTGGTGGATAGTTGTTCATAATAGTCTCTAACGATCCTTTCTATTTCTGTGTTATCCATTGTAATGCCTCCTTTTTCATTTTTGGTCTTATTTAATCTTCTCTCCTTTTCTCTTAATATAGCTAAGTTTGTCGATTTTTTTTATTCTTTCAAAAAGCTAACTTTTTATTTTGTTGATCCTTTGCACAGTTTAGTCGCAATTTGATTTATTCTCTAACCTTTATTATTTCTTTTATTCTAATGATTTTGTTACTTTTCTAGTTCCTTGAGATGAATCATTAGGTTATTTATTTGGAGTCCTTCTATTTTGTTGGTGTAGGTGTTTATTGCTATAAAATTCCCACTTAGGGCCAGGAGCACTGGCTCACACCTATAATCCCAGCACTTTGGGAGGCCAAGGTGGATGGATCACAAGGTCAGAAGTTTAAGACCAGCCTGGCTAATACGGTGAAATCCCGTCTCTACTAAAAATGCAAAAATTAGCCAGGTGTGGTGGCATGTGCCTGTAGTCCCAGCTACTTGGGAGGCTGAGGAAGGAGAATCGCTTGAACCCAGGAGGCAGAGGTTGCAGTGAGCCAAGATTGCACCACTGCACTCCAGCCTGGGTGACAGAGTGAGACTCTGTCTCAAAAAAAAAAAAAAAAAAGTTCCCATTTAGTACTGTTTTTGCTGTACCCCATAGGTTCTAGTATGTTGTGTTTCCATTTTCATTCGTTTCAAGAAATATTTTAATTTCCTTCATAATTTCTTCATTGATCCTTGGGTCACTGAGGAGCATGTTGGCCAAAGCAATCTTGAGTAAAAGAACAAAACTGGAGGACTCACACTACCTGATTTTAAAATAGAGAACAAAACTACAGTAACCAATACAGCATGGTACTGGCATAAAAAGATACATAGACCAGTGGAACAGAATAGAAAACTTAGGAATGAATTCATGCATTTATGGCAAGCAATTTTTGGCAAGGTGCCAAGAACACAAAATAGGGAAAAGACAGTTTCCCAATAAATGGTGTTGGGAAAACTGGATATCCACATGCAGAAGAATAAAATTAGACCCTCATTTCAAGCCATATACAAAACTCAACTCAAAATGGGTTAAAGATGTAAATGTAATGAACTACTAAAAGAAAACATAGGTGAAAGGCTCTGATATGATTAGGCTTTGTGTCTCCACTCAAATCTCATCTTGAATTATAATTCCCATAATCTCCACACGTCAAGGGAGAGATCAGATGGAGGTAATTGGATCATGGGGATGGTTTCCCCAATGGTGTTCTCATGATAGTGAGTGAGTTCCCATGAGATCTGATGGTTTTATAAGGGGCTCCTCTCCCTTCACTTGGCACTTCTCCTTCCTGCCGCCTTATGAAGAAGGTGCCTTGCTTCCCCTTTACCTTCTGCCACGATTGTAAGTTTCTTGAGGCCTCCTCAGCCATGCTGAACTGTGAGTTAGTTAAACTTCTTTCCTTTGTAAACTTAGTCTTGGGAAGTTTTTTATAGCAGTATGAAAACGGACTAATACAAGCTCCATGACAGTGATCCAGGAAATATTTTTATTGAATATTACCTCAGGCAACATAAGTAAAAATAGCCAAATGGGAATTCATCAAACTAAAAAGTTTCTATACAATAAAGCAAACAATCAACAGACTAAAGATAAAACCTACAGAATGAGAGAAAAAAATTGCAAGCTATACATCTGATAAAATATTAATACCTGTATTTAAAACATAAGGAATTTTAAAAGCTCAATAACAATAAGTCACCCAATTAAAAATGGAGAAAAATCCTGAACTGACATTTCTCAAAGAAAGACATACAAATGGCCAACTGGTATATGAAAAATTGCTTAACATCACGAATCATGTTAAGCTAATAATGGTCTTACTCTTATGTGGGATCTAAAAAAGTTGATCTTATAAAAGTAGAGAGCAGAATGGTGGTTGCCAGACACTAGGGTGGTTAGGGTGGAGAAGTTTGAGGAGATGTGGCTCAAAAGATACAAAATTACAGTTAGATAGGAGAAATAAGTTCAAAAGCTCTATTGTACAACATGGTTATTATAGTTAATAACAATGTATTGTATTGTTGAAATTTGCTAAAATAGTATATTACTATATAGTAGATAGTACACCATAAAAATGGTAACTATGTTAGGTAATACATATTTTAATTAGTGAGATTCAATTATTTTACAATGTATATATCCTTCAAAACATCATGTTGTACACAATAAATGCATACAATTTATCTGTCCATTTAAAACAAATAAGTAAATTTGAAAAAAATAGAAGAAAACAAATTGAATTTAAAATTGGGTAAAAAATCTGAACAGACATCTCACCAAAAAAAATACTCAGATAACAAATAAGGATAAGAAAAGATGCTGCTATGACTTGGCTGTGTCTCCACCCAAGCCTCATCTTGAATTGTAGCTCCCATAATTCCCATGTGCTGTGGGAGGGACATGGTGGGAGATAATTGAATCATGGGGGTGGTTTCCCTCATACTGTGCTCATGGTAGTGAATAAATCTCACAAGATCTGAAGGTTTGGTAAGGGGTTTCCCCTTTTGCTTGGCTCTCATTCCCTCTTGCCTGCTGCCATGTAAGAGGTGCCTATTGCCTTCTGCCATGATTGTGAGGGCTCCCCACCCATGTGGAACTGTGAGTCCATTAAACCTCTTTTTCTTTATAAATTACCCAGTCTATGGATAACTGAGTTCAGAAGTTTGAGACCAGCCTGGCCAACATGGTGAAACCCTGTCTCTACTAAAACATACAAAAATTAGCTGGGCGTAGTGGTACGTATCTGTAATCCCAGCTACTCAAGAGGCTGAGGCTGGAGAATCACCTGAACTCGGGAGGCGGAGGTTGCAGTGAGCCGAGATCACGCCACTGCACTCCAGCTTTGGTGATAGTGCGAGACTCCATCTCAAAAATAAATAAATAAATAAATAAAAATTAAAAAGATAAAAATTACCCAGTCTCGGGTATGTCTTTATTAGTGTGAAAATGGACTAATACAGATGGTTAACATCATATTTCTTTAGGGAATTGCAAATTAAAACAATAACGAAATATCTCTGCACACTTAATACGGTGACTAATATCCAAAACACTAACACCACCAAATCCTGAGAAGGATGTGGAGCACCAAGAACTCTTATCCACTGCTGGTGGGAATGCAAAATAGTGCAGCCTCTTTGAAAGATAGTTTGGCACCTTCTTACAAAGCTAAATATATTCTTACCACATAATCTGACAATCGCACCCCTAGATCTTTACCCAAGTGAACTGAAAACCTATATCCACACAAAAATTTGCACAAGAATGCTTATATTAGCTTTATTCATAATTGTCCCAAACTGGCAGCAACTAAGACATCCTTCAACGCCTGAATGAATAAGCAAACTGTGGTATCTATGCACCATAGATGGAATATTCTTTTGCGCCACAAAGAGAAGAAGGAATCTTAAATGTATATTGTTATGTAATCCTAGCACTTTGGAAGGCTGAGAGGAGTGGATCACTGGAGCCCAGGAGTTTGAGACCAGCCTGAGCAACATGGGGAAACCACGTCTCTACCAAGAAAAATAAATAAATACAAAAATTAGCCTGGCATTGAAGGTGCACACTTCTCAGCTACTCAGAAGGCTGAGGTAGGAGGATGGCTTGGGCCAGGCATGCAGAGGATACAGTGAACCAGCTGAGATTGTGCGACTGCACTCCAGCCTGAGCAAGAGCCAGACCCTGTGTCAAAAAACAAAAACCAAACAAACAAAAAAACAAAGGCAGTCAGTCTGAAAAAGCTACATACTGTATGACTCTAACTATATGGCATTCTGGAAAAGGCAAAACTATGGAGAGAGTAAAAAGACCAGTGGTGGCCAGGAAATGGGGTTGTGAGTAGGGAGCACAGAGGATTTTTTAGGGTAGTGGAATTACAGGCATTCCTTATTTTGTTGCACTTTGCTTTATTGCATTTTGTAGATACCGTGCTTTTTACAAATTGAAGGTTTGTGGCAACCCTGCCTCAAGCAAGTCTATAGGTGCCATTTTCCAACAGCATGCTCACTTCATGTCTCTGTGTTACATTTTGATAATTCTCACAATATTTTAAACTTTTTCATTATTAGTATATGTGTTACGGTGATCTGTAATCAGTGATATTTGATGTTACTATTGTAATTGTCTTGGGATACCATGGACCATCCACACACAAAACCATAAACTTAATTGATAAATGTTTTGTGTGATCTGACTGCTCCACAATAAGCCCTTCCGCCATCTCACTCCTTCTTCTGGGGTCTCTGACAGATGACAGTATTGGAATTAGGCCAATTAATAACTCTACAATGGCCTCTAAGGGTTCAAATGAAAGGATGAGCTGCATATCTCTACTTAAAATCAAAACTAGAAATAAGCTTAGTGAGGAAGGCATATCAAAAGCCGAGACAGGCTGAAAGCTAGGCCTCTTGTACCAATTAGCCAAGTTGTGAATGCAAATAAAAAGTTCTTCAAAAAATTTACAGTGCTACTGCACTGAGCACACCAATGATAAACAAACAAAAAAAGAAACAAAACAGCCTTATTGCTGATATAGAGAAAATTTAATAGTCGGAATGGAAGAACAAAGCATCCACAGCATTCCCTTAAGTAAAAGCCCAATGCAGAGCAACGACCTAACTCTCATCAATTCTAGGAAGGCTGAAAGTGGTAAGGAGTTGTAGAAGAAAAGTTGGAAGCTAGCAGAGATTAGTTCATGAGGTTTAGGAAAAGAAGCCATCTTCAAAACCACAAAAGCACAATGTGAAGCAGCAAGTGCTGAATGTAGAAGCTCAAGCAAGTTATTCAGATCTAGATAAGAGCATTGATGAAGGTGGCCACACTAAACAACAGATTTTTGATGTAGATGAAACAGCCTTCTCTTGGAAGAAGATGTCTTCTAGGACTTTTATAGCTAGACAGAAAAAGTCAAAACCTGGTTTCAAAGCTTCAAAGGACAGGCTGACTCTCTTCTTAGGGGCTAACGCTGCAGGTGACTTTAAGTTGAAGCCAATTTCCCATTCTGAAAATCCTGGGACCCTTAGGAATTATGCTAAATCTACTCTGCCTGTGCTCTATAAATGCAATAACAAAGCCTGGATAACAGCATATCTGTTTACAGCATGGTTTACTGAATTTTGAAGCCACCTACTATTGAAACCTACTTCTCAGAAAAAAGATTCTTGAGATTTCTTTTTTATCTTTGCTCATTCATAATGCACCTGATCATCCAAGACCTCTGATGGAGATGTACAAGGAAATCGATGGGTTTTTCATATCTGCTAACATAACCTCCATTCTTCGGCCTGTGGATTCAGAAAAAATTTGACTTTTAAGTCTCATTATTTAAGAATTTTGTAAGCTATAGCTGCCATAGATAGTGCTTTCTCTGATAGATCTGGGCAAAGTAAATTGAAAACCTTCTGGAAAGGAGTCACCATTCTAGATGCCATTAAGAACATTCATGATTCATGAGGGAAAGTCAAAATGTCAACATTAACAGGAGTTTGGAAGAACTTGATTCCAACCCTCATGAATGACTTTGAGGGGTTCAAGACTTCAGCGGAGGAAGTAACTGCAGATGTGGTGGAAACAGCAAGAGAAGTAGAATTCGAAGTGATGCCTTGAAGATGGGACTGAATATGGCTGCAATATCATGATAAAACTTGAACAAATTAGGAGATGCTTCTTATAAATGAGTGATGGAAGTTGTTTCTTGAGATAGAATCTACTCATGGAGAAAGTGCTCTGAGAAGTGTTGAAATTACAACAAAATATTTAAAATATACATAAACTTAGTTGATAAAACAGGAGCAGGGTTTAAGATGATTTTGAAAGAAGTTCTACTGTGGCTAAAATGCTATCAAACAGCATCACATGCTACAGAGAAATCTTTCATGAAAGAAAGAGTCCATCAATGCAGCAAACCTCATGGATATATTATTTTAAGAAATTGCCACAGCCACCCCAACCTTCAGCAAGAAATTGCCACAGCCACCCCAACCACCATCCTGATTGGTGGGCAGCCATTAACATCCAGGTGGGACCCTCCACCAGCAAAAAGACTATGATTTGCTAAAGGCTCAAATGATTGTTAACATTTTTTAGCAATTAAGTATTTTTAAATTAAGTTTTGCACATTTTTAGAGATAATGCTATTTCACACTTAATAGACCACAGTATCATGTAAATGTAATAATTTATATGTGCTAAGAAACCAAAACATTTTTTGTGACTTGCTTTATTGAGATATTCACTTTATTTCAGTGGCCTGAAACCAAACCCTACTGAACATGCCTTGATATGCCTCTATTCTGTCTGACACCATAATGTTAGATACAGAAGTTTATGCATTTGCAAACTTCACAAAACTGTATAACACAAAAAGTGAACATTAATGTAAACTATGGATATTCATTAGTAATAATAAATATCAGTTTATCTGTTGTAACAAATGTACCACACCAATGCAAGATGTTAATAATAGGGGAAACTGGGGGAAAGGGGGGAAGGAGAGCATTATAGGAACTCTCTATCCTTTCTGTTCAACTTTTCTATAAACTTAAAACTGCTTTAAATATGAAGTCTATCGACTTTTTACTTCTAAAAATATTTTATCAAATCACAATTATATTAGTAAATAAAGTGGAAAGTCTCCTGGTTGGATTTATTTAGTAAAATTATAAAATTAAGTAGTGAATATTCTACAGAGAGAATACCATGTAAAATCTAATGCTAATTGAACAGATTAACCCTTTTCCATGCCCCCACTACCCCACCATGACCCATGCACAGAGTCCATATTGTTGAGTTAAGGCTTAATGAAGACACTTAGGAAAGAAGATTTCACAAACAGTGGGGGAGAGAGATTATTTCAGTAACCTGTTAAGGCAAAATAACAACGAAAAGTCATTTTTTTAAATGTTTGATAGCTGTGTTAGTCCATTTGCTTTGCTATAAAGGAATACCTGAAACTGGGTAATTTATAAAGAAGAGGCTTATTTTGGCTCACAGTTCTGCAGGCTGTATAAGCATGGCACCAACATTTGCTTGGCTTCTGGTAAGGCCTCAGGAACCTTACAATCAGGTGGAAAGCAAACGAGGAGCAGGTGCATCACATGGTGAGAGGGAGCAACAGTGAGAGAGGGAAGAGGTTCCAGGCTCTTTAAACAACAATATCTTGCCTGAGCTCATACAGCGAGAACTGCCTCATTACCATGAGGATGGCACAAAGCCATTCATGAGGGTTCCATCCCCATGACCCAAACACCCCCACCAGGACCCACCTCCAACACTGGGGATTTGGGTGGGGAAAAACATCCAAACCATATCACTAGCCAACTGATGCCTTTCATGCAATTGAATCTGTACTCTTTGTAAGTCATTGACACAAAGTCATACATAAGTATGTACTCATTCTTATAAATCATTTGCGCAGATACCTTAACATTTTAGCTATCCTATCTGAGTAAAATAACTAATAAGTGGAGTCAGATCCAAAGAGAGCAAGTGGGATTCTGAGGATGTGGGGTTGGAAGAACACTATTGATTGATGTAGTATTGGTCAGAGGGCCCTACTGAGAAGTCATCAATGGTTAAATTTCAGCCTTGGGGGCATATTGAGTAGTGGTCCTCAAGGGGTCAGCCCTGCACCTGGTGCTGTTTAATGTTTTCACAAATGACTCCAATGATGGCCTTTAGATTGTGTTTCTAAAGCTGGCTCATATTCTGGTAAAAAATAATAATTCATAACCCACATGATATGGTGGAGAAACAGAGATGCTTAAACAGATTGCTATACAGAGGGAAAGTGTAAGGAAATTTATTTTAGAAAACAGATTCCCTGCACATACAATGCAGTGGTCCTGCACAAAATCTTTACCCAGGCCTTGCCCTCATTTGTTTGGCTGACTTGTTTCTAGGAGAGCCTGGGCAGGTTTTCTATTCTCCTGAGTGGAACCATCAGACTTTTCTTGAGGGATTGGCCCTCTAGTGAAGAGCATGGAGTGGACTGGGCCAGGGAAAGATCCTCAGATAATCCTTACATGTAAGTTGGCAAAATCTTTAGCCTCTACCTTATTGTTAGCTATGAGTAGCAGGGATGCAGGTACCTCAAGAGACCAGCTGAGATAAAGAAAGTTCATAATGTCCACAATTACTTTGATGACACAAGTGAAAATCTTATAAATTATGATATTTAATTGATTAGCCTATAAACATATACTTTTTATGGTTTAAAACATTTTTATAGTTTTTTTACTATACTACATTACATAGTGTAATATATATTACACTATACTTATTAATAGGATAATAACAAGTGCCATAGGAATTCAGAAAATTTAAAAAATAACTATTATTAATTAGGAAGGACAAAGAAGGCCCCACTGTACAGCTGAACTTTGAAAGAAAGGAAGTACTTGGATAAAACAAGATAGGAAAATTTTCTAACAAAACGGTAATAAAAATTATACTCTAAAATAGGATTTCTCAAGCTCAACACTTTTAACAACTGGGGCCAGATAATCATTTGTTGTTAAAACCTGTCCTGTGCTTTGTAGGATATTTAGTAACATCGCTGGTCTCTACCACTACATGTATTGGTGTTCTCTTTGCTATAACAACCTAAAATATATCAGATGGTGCAAATGTTCAGGGAAGTGGGGGTGGAGGGGGAGAGAAAGTGGGGAGGGAGGAAATCATCCCCTACTGAGAACCATTGCTTTAAAGGAGAAATAGTTGACATCCAAAACTTCATTTTCTCAATGAGAAAGTTAAATTACAGTAAGATTAAGTAATTTGGTCAAAGCAAGCAAGTAAGATGCAGATTCAAGAGTAGAATCCAGGTCTTCTGGCTCCCAGTCCAAACTCTTTTATAACTTAATTCTGCTGCTTTGAGTTCTGGAGACCTGGACAAAGTCAAGGAGAGCAGGTTCGGAATAGTCTGTTTGCAACAATACCAGGCTCATGGATTATCTTTGAACATACTGTGTATGACAAAAGCAGTAGTTCTCAGTAGGTGGTGATTTCCTCCCTCCCCGCTTTCTCTCTGCCTCCAGCCCCACTTCCCTGAACATTTGCACCGACTGATACATTTTAGGTTGTTACAGCCAGGAGAACACAATACATGCATTGGTAGAGACCACAGATGTTGCCAAACATCCTACAAAGCACAGGACACGTTTTAACAAATGATTATCTGACCTAGATCCCTCAGGAGGCAAGCAGATGTTATGTTCTGAATCTCTCAGGACAGAGTGCTTACTACTTCAAGGATAAGAGCAGGATAGCAAGAGGAAGAAGTAGAAGTTTATGAAGGTGGTGAATCCCCAAAGCTGAAAGTAATTTCTAATTCACTGTTGTGATTTCAGGATATCCACAGTAGATCAACTGATGCTTCAGGGTAAGCAGGCCCAATCACCTTGCAATTAAGGTGATAGAGGCCTCCATTTGTTATATAATCATAAACATAGGAAATAGAGTTTTCGTAAGTTAATCTGACCCACACCTCAGAAAAAGTGGGTGAACTCTGAAAGCACAGCAATAAAAGAAAAAAATGAACAGGTTAACTTTTGTCAAAATTTTTAAAATTTGTATTTCAAAAGACATTATCAAGAGTGAGAAAATAACCCACAGAATGTGGGAGAATGTTTGCAAAGCACATATCTGATAAAGGATTCGTATCTAGAACGTACATAAAACTCTTCCATCTCAAAAGGACACATAAGTCAATTAAAAATGGTCAAAGCATCCGAATTAGCATTTATTCAGAGAATATACAAATGACCAAAAGCATATGAAAAAATTCTCCACATCATTAATCATTAGGGAAATATAAATCAAAATCACAATAAGATAGCATCACACTAATTAAAATGGCTATAATCAAAAGGACAGACAATAACAAGTATTGACAAGAATGCAGAGAAACTAGAGCCCTCAAATACTTATCTCAGGAATCTAAGATGGTGCAGCTACTTTGGAGAACATTTTGGCACATTCTTAAAGGGTCAAATATAAATTTATCATACCACCTAAAAATCTCACTCTTAGGAATCTACTCAAAATAAATGAAAATATGTCCACACAAAACCTTGTACGCAAGTATTGATAGCCGTATTATTCACAATAGCCAAAAAATGGAAATGACCCAAATGTCCATCTGCTGACAGATAAACAAAATGTGTTATATCCATATAATGAATTTTATCAGCAATAAAAAAGGAAAGTACTGACAGATATTACAGCTGGATAACCCTCAAAAACATTATACTAACTGAAACACACACACAGAAGAACACATATTGTATAATTCCTTATATAAAGTGTCCAAAAAAGCAAATAATAAGAGAAACTAAGTAGATTAGTGGTTGCCTAGGACTGGGAGGAAAAAACAGGAAATAACTGTAATTAGGTACAAAATGTCTTTTTTAGAGAAATGTAAATACTCCAAAATTATATTATGATAGTTATACAACTCTGAAAGTATACTAAAGTCTACTAAATTGGACAATTGAAATGGATGAAGTTATGGTATATAGATCATGTCTGAATAAAGCAGCTTAGAAAATACCTCCTTCAAGATAAATGAAACAGCAAGACATAAACCGGGAGGAAAGAGTTGTGATATATATGTCTGACAGGACTTGTACTGCACCATCCCAAAAGTGAATGAAATCTAAATCTTTGAATTTAAAAAGAGTAAGATAAAAGAAGCAAGATGACATTCCCAAGAGAACATTTCTTGGTGGGCATCATTCATATGACACAACAGATATTAAGTAGAGATTATAATATTTAAATTAAATGACATGTAGCAAGCTAGAAAGTTTTGATAAGAATCCTTTCTTACAGTGAATATACTTGCAGAACAATCTTTACTCCAAATCAGCTAGTTCCTAGTAACAGTGTCCCAAAAGCAACAACAACAACAAAGTGTGGCTGAAGTTTGAATAGCAAAACATTGTGTCAAAAGATTGAGTAAGGAAAAAAAATAGCATAACTTAGTGTGGTTAGAGAAGAAGGTCTTTAAAGAGAAGCGATAGCCTGGCAATTTCTTTGCAAATGCAGAGCATGAAAGATAAGGGGAACATGATAAGCTGCTGTAGGTAGATAATAGCAAAAGGAAAGAAGGTTCACTGCCCTATTCAAAAGCCCCCAGTGGGCCTCGGTTGATGGTGAGGCATTCAAGGGCTTCCTTAATATGGCCATCATTCCAGTTTTCACCATCCTGTAGGACTGCCACCCCACCCTCTGGATGCTCTGTACCCCTGTTCTCCATACCTTATATATTTTCTCCACCTCAACCAAACACCCTTATTTTCCAGTGTGTAACGTCCTCTCCCAATCATCACCTGTTGATATCCTAGTCAATTTTCAAAGCTCCCTTCTTCTATGAAGCTTTCCTTCGATCTCCTTACTGGAAATAAGTCTCTGTTCTCTCCTCCTACAGCACTTCATCTTTTTCTCTTAGCATTTATCCCATCTCAGTGTTACAGCTCTCCGTATAACTGTCTTCTCTTCCTTCAGTATTATAAACTCCTTCAGGTAAGCAGCTCTGCTTACTCATCTCGTACTCCTGCCTAGTAAGAGCCCAGAAAACCTTCAGCTCTCAATACATTCTGAATAAAATTTCCAACGGAAAGAGTAAAGAAGATTCCATCTTGAAGTAAGCAATCAAATCTACCAAATCTCATCTCATATCAATTTCTAATAACAGTGCCCAAAGGAACCAAGTGAAATTACCAAATTAGAAGTGATAAGAGGTTGACTCTCTCCAGAAATTTATTGTAATTAGAAAGAGGTAATGGTGTCTAAATAAGATGAAAGAAGATATTTTAAAGATGATAATAACAAAAACTGTAAGTATTACTTTAAAAGGTATTGTAGAAATTGTTTTAAAGATTTAAATTCTAACTTTTTAAGGCATTATCTATGTAAACAAATTGAAGTAAATAAATCTTGGGTGGGGGAGCAGTGATTAGAAAGAATAGGAAGCAACCTAAAACAAGATAATAATTCTATATAAATTGTTAATTCCATAACAGCATTTAGTAGTAAAGACATAGGAAAGACTTCTAATAATGAAAAGGAAACAAAATATAAGAACATATTCATGATAATAACAGAAAATTATTCAGGAGTACACATTTATTCAATCTGTCAATCAAGCAAACAACCGAAATATTTTTAGTATACTCTATGCCAGAAATGGTGCTGGGTGTAGAAGAAACAAAACACTCTTCATAAATAGCTATGGATATATTAAAATGTCAGCAAAATAAAAGTTATATGTGTTTTAGGTTCTAATGAACACAGTAGAGCACACGTTCAATTCTACCCTTGAAATGACCAAATTTCACGGTAGAAATTACTAGAGTGGTTCAGGAAAGGCTTTACAGAGGAAGGACCCCTTGAGCTGAGACTGGAACATCTTGAAGGGTAAGTAGACTGTCATTGGTAGGGGTATGAAGAAGGAGAAAAGCTAAAGGCTTCATTTTAGAAGGAAGATTAAGAGCAAAAGCACAAAGCTGAGGAATCATCTATGTGTGCTGGGAGCTACAAACAGATCAATATGTCTGAAATCCAGGATGCAAGGAAACATACAGGAAGAAGGTCTTAGAGTGGTTTGCTAAGCTGAAAAGTTTAGAGTTTGTTAATGTGGACTACTTGAAGAGTTTTAAGCTGGCCATATACAGGCAGATTTGCATTTTAGAGTAACACTTTGGTGGGAAGGAGGAAGAAGAAGTGGAGGGAAGCAAGACTAGAGAAAGATGTCATTAGAAAACTCTAACAGTACTCTAGTCCAGTGATGACAGAGGCCTGGTATGTGGTAGTGAGGATGAAGAGAGGTGACAGATTGGAGATATATTTAGAAAGCTGATTCAACAGGACACGGTGATTAATGGCAAACGGAGAGGAAAAGACAATGAGGAGTCCAGGTTTTTGGCTTAGGCAATTGGGGCATGTCATCTTGTACAGTAGGAAAAATGGAAGGAGGAGTGGTTAATGGGAAGACGATGAATTCTATTTCAGACATCCTAGGTTTGAGGAAACTGTGAGGACATCTAAGTGGCAATTTCCAAAAGGCAGCTGAATTAATGTGTCTGGAGATAAGAAAAAGGTAGGGCTGGAATTAGACATTTAAGAATCGTCTCATATATTGGTTAATTTAGTCCATCAGAGTGAGTGGGATTTCCAAGGTTAATGTATAGAGTCTGAAGAGAACTGAAAATTCTCTTCAGAGGAGGGAAGGAAGGAAGGAAGGAAGGAAGGAAGGAAGGAAGGAAGGAAGGAAGGAAGGAAGGAAGGATCAAACTTCAGACAGCAACCAACACAACATGAAAGAGATGGCTACTTCAAAGGAAATGCTTTTGCAAGTTCATGCCTGCTGTATAATTTTACTCATGCTATTTCCCATCAGTATTTTATCCCTCCTAAATCTAAGTCTAGTAGAACCCTTCCCAATCCTTCCTTATCAACAGTTTAACCAATGCTGCCATGAAAAATCCTCTTCTTGGGAGTCTTATTCTATAGGAACAGGTTATGGACAACTTTATCTTTCCCTAAGATGAGAAAAATTCTTTAGAAAATCCCCTGGTGCATGAAAGAAAAAGTGCAAACTCTTTTATCCTCACTACAAAAATTAAGAGCATGCCTATGTCTTCTTTATTCTATGTCACAATTTTTTAAGTACTTCACCGTTTAATTAATTCATTAAAAAGCATTCATTAAGAGTCTGCCTTTTGCAATTAACATGCTGATCTGTCTGTATATTGCACTACAGATTTAAGCAGATGGGAAGCCCTAGAATTATATGATTGATAATTTAGGGCTTAGAGGTAAAGCATCATAGAAAAATCCTTAGATCAGTCCTTCTGAACCACAGTGGTTGTTGGAGTACATTAAAAATATCAAGAATGCCACAATCAAATAATCAGATCAGCAGGCAGATAGAAATGTAGGGTTTATCTGTGAGGTAACTATGATTGATCAGGTGAAAGTAAAGAGAATTTAAGATTGATGCATATACAGGGTTTGTTATACCATTCTTTTACTTTTGTTTGCTTGAAATTTTCTGAAGAAAAACCAAAAGACAGAAAGAATCCCAGATAGAGAACACAAAAGATAAAAATCAATTTGCCTATTAAATCTAGTCAAAGAAAGAGAGGCAGGATGGTTGAAGGAGACAAAATATAGAGTTGAGAATGTCAGCTCTGAAAAAACTCATGCATATGAATTGTAGCCCCACAATTTTTCCACTGTTAAATGCTCTTAGAGGATTTGCTTAACCTCTCTGTGCCTCAGTTTTCTTATCGGAAAAAAATAGTGATAATATCCATCTCTTTGAGGTGAGAATTATATGAGATAAATTTAGCATAGTGTCTGGCACATAAAAAACCACCATTAAATATTAGCTATTTATTATCCCTAACAGACTAGAATGAGGTGAAGCCAGAAAGGAAGAGTCATAATCAAAGAAGAGAGTGATCAAGAATCCAAAATGTATGTTTCATGTTCCACTTGCCATTCAATCCATCCACTAACTTATTTCATCTTTATTATCTATAGTTTGAACTTTAGTTTTGATATGTTATTCCCCCGTTTGATGTTAGATCTCAGATTAACCCCATTGGACCTGATACAGCTATTAATAGTTGCTCAGAGGATCTCGACATAGTGTATATATTTAAACTTAGCAAGCATTCTAAGAGAATCCCTGGGTGACTTTAGTATGCTGCAGCCTTGTGCAAAGGCAGCTGGGAGCATGTTGATCAGTAGGGAAGGGCCCCAAAAACAACTGTGTAGGGATGCTGGGAGGGTTGGGTGAGACTACCTAAAATAACTGTACCCTTTAGAAGACAGGGAACATTCTTCTGTAGTTAGTTGTTTCATTCCCAGAATCTAGCACAGAGTCTGTCACTCAGTCGACACCCAATAATAATTGACTGAATAAACAAATGAATGAATAAACAAACTTGTACTGAGATCCTACGATAAAGAGGTAGGAAACTGTTTCCCAGTATTTTCATTCTGAATGAACTTGAAATTTTAGCTAGAATGAATTTGCTGCTGATCAGTTCAACTAAAGTCCATGAACTCAAAGTTAGCTGAGCCCCTGACTTGCTTGATTTGGATCTAAACTCACAAAATGGAGCTTTTCAAGAACCAACAAGGATGACTGACAGATGGCAAGAATCTGTGGAGGAGACATAGGCCCTCCCCAAAGACACTGTGACAGCCACACTGGTAGAAACTGCAGCCCCCTGTCTTCAGGATGACCAGAGCTGCTCAACCTTTTAGCTTGTGTTTACTACAATTTTCATGCTTCAAACTTCTTCATCCCTTCATCAGGAGGGCAATTTCTCTATTTCGTTTCAAGCATCTGTTCTCCATAATGAGCTTTATTTATTCATTTAGAGATGGGGTGTCTCACTCTGTCACCCAGGCTGGAGTGCAATAGCACAATCATAGCTCACAGCAGCTTCAAATTCCTAGGCTCATGTGATCCTCCTGCCTTAGCCTCCTGAGTAGCTGGGACTACAGGTGCATGCCATGCACCACCATGTTTGGCTAATTTTTTTTTTCACTTTCTCAATTTTTGTAGAGACAGGGGTGTCCCTTTGTTGCCCAGGCTGTTCTCAAACTCCTGGCCTCAAGCAATCTTTTCACCTTGGCCTCTCAAAATGCTGGGGTTACAGGTGTGAGCCACTGCCTCTGACCAGAAACTATTTTTAAAACACCAAATTTCATTCACTTTATCTAAACCTGCAATGGCATGACATGCAGTTTTTATTTTAGTCCCTGACTTTTTCTAATCTTAACTTGATTCCCATAATTTTATATTTTTGAGGCTCCCTCTCAGAATATTCTTCTTATTTACTTGAGCGTTTTAATTTCTTTTTCCTTTTTTTTTCCTTCCTACTGTTTTGTTTTTGAATTGTTCCTTGGCCAACAATATTTTTGGTGTAACTATGTGTTAGGGAATGTAAAAAAAATGTTTTTCAAATTATCTTAGTTTATATTTCATCCCCTCATGGTAGACATGATTATTCCCATTTTGCAAATGAGAAAAAGGGACCTAAACATTAAATAATTTGTCCAAGGCTTTATAACTGGCAAAGTAGGGAACCAATTCACTGTCTTCTAAAAACATAGGCAGGTTCTGTTTTACCTAGCATCACTGTGAATTGAAAATAGACTTGGAAAAAATAAAATCAATCTTCCATATGCGATAACTCATATAGACAGATATTTAGAAAAAGAAACCCAAAGTATTTCTTTTTGGCTTTCTGGTTCTTTTTCAAAGCAGAAATAGAGGGCTTGTAGGAAACAAATAAGTATTCGAAAGCTCCTATTTCTCCCTCACTGAGCCAGGGCTTCTTTAAAAAGCGATCCCGTGCCAGAGTTGGAGCCTTCAGTTCACTCAGCAGTGACAGCTTTTATTTAAACTCTGTGGGTTCTATATTCCCTTTTGCCTAAGAGCTCTATGTCTCTCCTCATTTGTAATGGTCTTTTTTTTTTTCCTCTCACTTATGCCAGAGACAGAGAGAGCAGGCTCTTAGAGAAATGGGAGAACTACCGCACTGACTCTGCACGTAGGAGACAGGCAGGAGAGGAGCGCCCCAGCCAGAGCTCAACATGCGCAAACAGGAAGTGTGTCCGAGGTTTTCTGGAGCTCACAGGAGCCGGGGACCCACAGCCAGACGTTTATCTGTATGTGTCTTAAATTATGTTTTTGAAAGACTGTAGTCAGTTGTGTGACAATCTATAGGAAACCAAACATTTGCACGACTCTACTCTTTTTCCCAATTTTTAAATATTTTTATTTAGAAACTCATGTAATTAATAGTTTAACTGTGAACCAGAATAACCAATACATATGTATTGTACACATTTTTATCTCTTAATTATTCACAGCCTAAATAATCTAGATCTAATGACCATTTAGAACCAAAACTATACTGGAAGTTTCCCAACTACAACCATCGCTGACCCAAGTATTGGTCAATTTTCCTAGCTGCTTGCTAGGACATTGTATTGCTGAGGCCATTTTTTACAAAGGACACAGATTTGGCCTTTGAAACATGCAGATAAAAAAACAGATGGATTTTTATCTGTTCATTCAAAGTGGGGGGGAGGGGCCAAGTGATTTGTGTGTTTTGTGTATCTCTATTGGAGAACAATAAACTGATTGAGAGGGTTTATTTTTTTTTTTTTTTAGGAAAGAAAAGCAGACAAGACAAACTAAATCAGCAACCATCCCTTTGGATGCCAGCTGACCTCGGATGGAGATTTAGTGCTAGATGTAAAAGGCTTTGTTTACAGACAATTAAAAACCACATAAATTTAAATTGTCAAAGAAGAAATGGTTTCCAAAGCTTCTAACAGCCTGGTAGCCCCTCCTCAGCCCTGTGCAGGAAAGGCCCAGAGGCAAATACAAAGCCACCAACCCAAATGCCTGTGGAGTTTGCCAGAAAGCCAGATCCTGCTGCTTCTGCTGCTTGTTACTGATGTTGAAAAATAAAATCTTATACAGCTTCAAATGTAGGTTCTTTGAGTGCTAATCAAACAGCAAGAAGGCAACAGATGACCACGGAGGAGGTGGCTGCACGAAAGTACGCCACAAAGTATGGAATTACTGCAAGTAGGCCTTTCGGCAATCAATGTGTCTGAACCTTTTGTGTGCTCTCCATTTTTTCCCACCGAAGGAACTAGATGCAAAGATTAAAAAGTGACACAAACACAAACGATCGTCAGACTTAGAGCCTGAAATATTCTGAATGTTCTTATCTGTGTATTTTACTTCTTCCCGTCAGCCATCAGGCAAAAGGACTGAAGCTCCAGACAAGAGCAGCTCCATAGGAAAAAACAAAAACAAAAAAACACCCTTCCATGTTTGCATCAATATTTGGTGCTGATGTTGATGAATAAGTAATGATGTGTAGGTGTTGATAACATTTATACACAGCCCTGATTGGTTCTGACACAGGTGCTCCATGGAGGATGAGGTTTACAAGCCGAAAACGGTCAGGGGAAAGCCATGGTTTCGGGCTGTCCCTCACAGATGCGGGATTTTGCACCTGTGTTTGAAGTTGCTCTTTCATTTAGTTTCTCTGCAGAAAAGCCAGGCACAATGTTCAAACTGGGAGCACCTGTGTTTGGGGCCAACTTGGACTATTTTGTGGCCTGAAAGTGGTCTCTTAGATCCATTACTTAAACTTAACAAGAAAACTTTTTTTTCCCCTTGGAGTTTTAAAATTGGAGGTTAAAAAAATTAAGTTATGGATACACATATTAGTCTCATCACAGGACCAAGCATATGCAAAGTGTTGTACAGCTTACTTACATTATTCAAGGACTTGAGTGATAAAAGACAAATGCCATTAAAAATTGGATGAGCCCCGAAACCCTGCTCATCGATTGAAATCTTTGTTTAAATCACAAGGCAATTTTCCTGTTAGGGATGCGACATTTAGGCACCAGAGTCAACTCAAATTTAATACAATCTTATTCTATTCTAATTTAAAGGCAGAAATTGAACATTGTTTACAGCTAAATTAAAATTTGGGTGATTTTTTTCCTCTAATAAACTGACAACAATATTGATAGATTCTTCACTTTCTGTTTAATTGGGTTAAGAACATTAAAAATTCTCCAGTTTAAAATAATAAGTCTTTTGAAACCGTAACTAATCTTTCATTCCCTAAGGTTTGGCCAGTGACAACTGGAGGCAAATCAAGAAGAATTTATCACTTGGAATCATGGCCACAAGTCTCATTAAGAAAATTGCAGGGAGAACAATTAAATGGCATGTTCAAATTCTTCGGACTTGGCATTGGTAAATCTAAAGGCTAAGCAAATGCATTATGTAAATCTATTGGTTGCTTTTTTAAGTCAAATTTCTAATGTATGTTATATTTCAAAATAAACTATTTTAATTTGTATTAAAGAACAAATGCAGGGGAAAATGATATACTTATCATCAATGTAAAATATAACTGTCTGACCAAAATTCTGCTGATAAATTATGCTGGTAACAGCATTCTGAAGAAACAGATGTATTATTTAGATATTATATCCAAGTGCAGGTGTCAATCAAGTAATTATGTATTAAATATATATTGTGTAGTTGGTATCACTAAAGAGGTATGGATAGATAAAATATTATATTAACAGTTTTCCACAAATAGTAACTGAGTACAAAAAAATTGTCAGATTAACACTTGTTTTATTTTTTATCAATTAGCTAAGCCTTTGATTTGAATTCTCCACCCTCTGGCGTCAAGGAAATGCCTTTTCTTTCTTTTCTTTAAACAAAGGATTATTCTTCCTCAAAAGGGGCTTGTCTAGTTCTTTTATTGTTTTATGTCACACAAGGGAAAAATGCTTTTGAGGCATCACTACTGAATTTAGCAGGGATGAGAGTTTACTGCTATATAATCATTAGTCAATGCAGTAGCTGAAACCTTAAACAAAAGAAAACAAACTACAAACAGGCAAGCATCCCCTAAAGGCACATCAGAACACCAGAGAGGGGCGGCATGGATTTCAAACAAGGTTGCCCAAGCATGTGCTAAATATTGCTGCTTTTGACTTTAAACTGCACACCAAGGAATACAGTTTCACCTTCTATTCTGAAACAATACTGAGAAGCACGGGGAACAGAATGTAAAGGGTTTAGAATGTACTTTACTCTGATTCTGTGGCAACTTTGTGAAAATTATATTTCAAACCTAATAAAATCTCTCAATATGAAGAGATTTTATTATAAAGCTATTAGAAATGGTTGCTTAAATTGCACGTGTCTTTTTACCCCGAGCCATGCTTTGTTACTTCATACCAACTACCACCGTATACAGTTACAGGTCTATAATGTAGCTGTGCCTTGTTAGAAATCTTGGGAAAGCATTTCAGCAGGGCTTCTTGCCTTCAAACAGACTGATGATTTTCACATCAGGTGCTTAACAATCAGGTAAGTATGAAAACTTGTCCATTATAAGTTCCTAAAGCAGGCTAATGAGGAAGCACTGCTTTGTGAAAACACACACACTGAAAAAAAGTATAAACAAGAAAAAGTACAAAGGAAGCAGTAATGCCAATTTTAAAAGCAAGGAAAATGTATATGGAATACATGTCACAGATAGAAACCCATGTGTTGGGGGAAAAAATATTGCTACTACCATAGAAATACTTTTTATAACAAATTTTTTAAATTTAAAATATTTCTTTATTGATTCCAATTTCCAGATTTTTATGTGCATGTGTTTTCTTTTTAATTTTACATTTTGGTAGTGTTGTTGTTATTCAAACTTGCTAATTAAAATAGAGGTAAAGTTAATTTCATAAGATGAAAACCAAGCTATACTGGTTGATAGTCAGGTTTTAACAAGCTATTTCAGGACAGGGCATGTTAATCAATGGTAATATGTGTTTTTGCTATACATCCCCAAGTCTTATACATACTTCCTCACTCTGCTCTTCCACCCAAAATAATTCTTACTTTAAAAATTTATTTTTCAGATAATTACAGGGCAATCAGATACCATGTAGCAAATATAACAATATATAAGGTTCTAAATTGCATTGTTTTTCTTGTTTTTTGATGTTATGTGACAAGAACTCAAGAAGACAGAGACAAGGAGGAATTTGATACCATTATCTACACTACCAAAATAAGCAATCTAAAACTCTTGACAAGATAAAATTATATCACTGATTATAATGTTGATCATTTTGAAAACTCATGGATTGGGTTTCCACAGTAACATATATTGCCTGTGCTTGAGATTTTCTTCCTAATTTCATTTCTATGAAAATACATGTGTATCCCAGAACACAACAGCCTATTCCTTTCCATTCATGTCATGTTTCCTTACATTTGTTTGGAAAAATTGCATAAAGTTGTGTGACCATGAACTGGATTAAACAAATTGAGATATGGTAAGATGGTTGTAAGTGGCTTCATTTATACTTTCCCCCCAAATTAGAACTCATAAGTTTATAAAAACACTGCCTACTTCAGGTTTTATCAAGACTGTGTAGCCCCCATTTAAGTCCTTGTGGGTACTCAGCTTCTCATGTCATTCCAAACCAAGCCCCCACTTTCCCCACTCCCTACCTGGCTCAATAAAAGTTTGTTCAGTGAATGAGTGAATAAACGTCCTGCCCAAGAACAGATGAATATCAAGAAACATGGGTGAAATCATTGAAACTCGGAAAGACTCAGAAGATTTAGGGAAGGACTAAAAAAAAAAAAAGAGGCCTATAGCACATATTTTCCTAATATAATCAATAAATAATAAGTTTTTCACATTTGAAGAGTTTTGATGTAAAATTGGTAAAATTTATTTTGAGTTTAATTCTATGTTATTTATCAAGTATAGATATTAACAGAAGATAGTAATTTGATTATAACAAACTAGAAAATGAAAATAATGTTCAGAATTATAGTTTCCCAAATGTATTTTGATTTCCTTGGAACTCTAGGTGTTAACACTGTGTCTGGGCATGCACAGAGTGAGAAATGATCACACATCAGCTACTTACCTGCTCCAGATAAATATTTAAATTACCTTTCTATCCCAAATCACCCTTTCGATCTACAGAAAAAATTTTTGCCTTCATGATTTGGATTGACAAAACTCTATTTTATCTGTACACATATTTATATCATGATGATTTTTAAAAGTTTTATGTTCATTTAGAAGTGTTTTAATCTTGATTATTTGATTTTGTCTAAGTAAAAGTTGTTTATCATCAAATTCAAATTAGGGATTTTACAGATAAAATTAGAAATCAACTTTTTGGTCAAAAGCATTTTTCTTGTATATGCTAAATGTCTTAGTTTTCAAAGTGTCCTTAAAATACCATAAAAGTACTATAACAATGCTTTCAGATCTGGGTCTTTTTTTTTTAATAAGTTAATGATGTGAGATGAGAGATATTTCATCTTTTATACAGTTATTTGACAGTGATGAATTTAATTCATTCTATCACATTGAATGATACATTTATATTCAGTATGTAGTTTAAAATTTCATAAATGATTAAAGTCCCTGTCGTTTTAATTATAATATGCGGAGAGCAGCCAGAAATTATTTGCAAAGAATAATGTACAAGTCAATAAATTTGGTGAGTACTCCTGACAACATATAAATAATGACTTTAGAAGTATAACTACCTGTGGTTGAAAACTAAATAACAAGAGTCCGTGTATGGGTTTTTATGAACTAGCTGATTTCGTTTTCTATAGGAGCTCTTTGTGGTTATAATTTGCTTTATTAAATTGAAAACACAATAATGCAATGAGATTATATTACTAGTGAATCCATTTCAACCTAGAGTCTGACTTGAAATAAACCAGTTCTGGTCACCTCCCTACCCCTAGACCTTGGTCACTGTAAAGGGCTTTGGATATCCTGAGCCCTTTGGATATCCCCGGGATCATTTAAACCAGAAATTATCAACAACAGATCTTCTCGCCTACATGGATAGTCCAACACTCAGGACCACACTGTCCTCCATCCCAACAACCTACTCCAGATTATACACTTCCCTTTATAGCTGGAGTCATCTCCACTAAAAAAAAAGAGCCCACATCCATCCATTTATGTATTCAACCAGCAAATATTTACTGGTATCGACTACATGCCAGGCACTACTCTAAAGTGACAGGAGTGAGAAATACTGGCAAGGTTTGGCCTGAACCAGATTAGCCTGTATGGGATGAAAGATGAAATAAATCAGATGCCATAGAATTATGAAACATAACCACTTCCTCTTGGAACTTACATTCCACTTGTTCTGTTGCATTTCTCTCTACCTCAGAATTCCATTTTAACTCTAAAACTAAAGCTATACTGACAAAGCAGAAAGCACTTTCTTGAATCCATCTTTATGTTCAGTAATAAGATAATCTAATTACTCTATACCACTTGCTGATTAACATGGGACAGAACATCATCTCTCTTCTCGGGGTATCTGAAACTATTCCCCACAAAAGATCCAGTGGAGAAGCAGCCATTTATGTTGCTCCCATAAATCTCAGCAGATGATCTCAGTACAGGGAAGGCTGATATTGGCCAAAAGATCTAGCTACTCAACCCTCTCGTTAAGATTACAAGCCCAGTATCATCTTATAAACAGACCAGAAGTGAGGTTTAAACTTGTGCCTGACATAAATCATGTCAGGACAAACACAGTCATCATTCAAGGTCTCCACTAAATTCCATGAGAACAGAGGACAGAAAGAAGCTGAAGTGATCATATCCTATCACCTTTGTTTAGTTTCAAACGTCTATGGCTCAATTCTATGATTCCATACCAGCAATATCTTTCAAGATTATTGCTACTCAATTTATGAGAAGCTTTGTCTGTACTAAAATTGCAGGATTGCATCTATGGTTTTATTGCAGCTGGTCCTTGGAATGTTTGTATTTCTCAGAAGTAAAAAATAAAAAAGAAGGGAGAAAGAAAAGTGGAAACAAAATAGGAAAAGGAAAGGAGGGGAGAAAGGAAAGAAGAAAGAAGAAGGGAAGGGAAGTTGGGAGGGAGGGAGGACAGAAGGAAAAAAGGAGATTATGAATACGGACTTCAAGCCTCCAACAAGTGAATTTTGTACACAGAGATGTATTGTTAACATCTCAGGGGCCATGGGGACATTTTAAAAAAAGTTTTCTCTGTGATACTCTAAATAAGAACAGCTATACACATTTTGACCCAGCTCAGCTTTTTTTTTTTTCGACTCTTCTCTCTTAAAATTTCTCACTCCAACTCTTCCACTGTCAACAGTACCACTGAAATACAGAAGTCCTGGTATCTGCCTGAGAACTGAAATACCAAAATTACTCTTAGCCTGTGACCAAAATAGATGCATTACCACCACCCCTAAGCTGGATATCTGGTAGAAACAACTGCAGAACTTTAACTAGATTGCTGCTGTGGGGTGATAGCCTAATGAACTGCCACCTAGAATCTCTTAGGGTTAATAAGCCACCTGTCTTGAAAGTAGCAGTCATATTGGTCTTTGAAGCCTATCCCAATACTTAAACTCTTGATGAAGTTCTTACCGTGCCAAAGGAACTTACTAACAAAGCCACTGAGTCAATTTAACCTAGGGAAACTGGACCCAGTAGACTAGGCTATCAGAGTTTTGTGTTGAGATAATTACTGCACTAAAGAGAGCATATGGGCTGTCAGAGCTGGCACATGGCCTGCACCAGCTGTTACCTGGGTGCTTTGGAAAACCTACTGAACAGCATTTTGGACACAGCACAGCTCTGTGTAAGTTTTCCAAGGCTTCTACTGCGAGTTCTTCATAATAAATTTATTTCCTGTATAAGGGAGGATTGCACCCAGTAACGTAACTGGAACAAGCATGTTACATTTTTCAGGCAGATAGAGTATTACTGGCCAAAAAGGGAAAACAATCTGGGGCACAAACAGGCACAAAGCCTATGAAGCCAGGAATAATTGAAACATGAGCCAGGAGAGGTTCCCCTGTCTTAAAAAAAAAAATTAAAAAGGTAAATTTGACACTATGAGAATTTCTTTGAAAATGATCGATATATAAAATCAGGCATTTAAAACATCTATCACAGCATCTAGCACACAAGAAATGATCACTGCTATTCTTATTATTGTTACTACATGATGACTCCTACCTGCTAAGTATACCCAGGATTCCTGAACTGCCACAAAGTACACCATTCTTCTGTCATTGATGCTAGAACTGTTTTACCTTAGGAAAATGGTTTTCCAAAAATGGATATCAAAGTGGGTTAGCCAATGCATATCTCATAATGACAGCAAGTTTTATTTATATGTACCACATTTTCTTTTAAATGACCTGATCCCCAAACTTGACGACTATAGTGTCTGTGACTTACGTTATTGAAATTCAGCCACCTCTTAAATACCACACAGCCACGTACTACATGTAACGAAAGATCTTTAGACAAACCCAAGGAAACAAGGGGGATGGAAATAAAGCTTTTCATGGTAGAGTCTATACAAAAAGAATTTCAATAAACATGACCAAAAATATGTCATTAATCATTGAGCTTTAATTCCAGTAATAATGTTATCACATTGCAACTTAGAGTAAACTTTTGTATTCATAAATGATTTTTTCCCCCTTCGAGAACATTAGGAAGGGTAACTTGGGGCAACAGCAGATTCCCATTACTGGAAAGTCATTAAAGCATTGATTCAATGTTGGTATCCAAGCTCACAGGAGCCTGGATTTTTACTTGTAAATTCAAACTTTGTAACCTCTTTGAAACAGAAACAGAATGAACATGACAGTCAGAGCTTTTCTCCACCTGGTTGGGAAAGGAAAGTCAGTTTCACTTCAAGGAAGTAATTTAAATCCCAGTTTACTTACAGAATAGGTCTTGTTCAAGGTTTTCTTTTGAATCAGACCCTACTAGTCTCCATTAAGTGAGTTTACTTTGAGAAAATACACAGCAGTAAAGACAAGCTTTGGAAGCGTCAAGTTCAGCCTCTTTGGTACTCTTTCCAGAGGGAGAGCTGATTTGGGATCCCAGACAAAGAAAGTCATGTTTCAGTGAAATGACTGCAGGTTCAACTCAGAAAAATTCCATCATTAGATTTAAATTTTTAAAACGTATGCCTTGAAAACACTCAGGACATTTAGAAACTCTACCGCATTACATCACAGTAAGTGCATCACCGCATTATATTTTGCAAGCTTTAGCAAATAAAAAAATCCCCCAGAAGAATCTTAATTCTTATCTATGGAAAACATTAAACTGCTAAGCGCTAACAACTGGAATTAGTCCTTAAATCTCTAATGAGAATAATAAAACATGAGTGCAGTTTGTGCTGTAACTTGATAAGGCCTGAATTTACTTGCTGTTAGAAAAAGTCACTGATCCAGCAGTACGGCTTTTTACTCCCTGAGGTACAGGAAACAATATCTGTCCTCTAGGAACCTTCTCTGCGGTAAGCACTTCTTATCTGTGCTATCAGAGGACGGAGATAGCAGGCTAATATCTAGTAACAGCAGCTTTATGAGATGATCCATTACTGATTTATATCAATCTCAAGCAGGTAGTTCTCCTTAATCCATTCAGAGCATATCTAAGCCCTGCCACAGAGCACCCTCAAACTCTCTCTGCAAACTGCCAGTCCTGAAACTTAACGTGCAAGAAACTGCAAAACACTGCTTCTCATCTTCTATACTAAGCATCTTTTTAAAAACTTGCTGCTCTGAAAGATTGTAGAATTGAGGCTACTGACCAACAATTGAAATCCAGTTTTAGTAACAATTATCAATTCCACGTTCATTCAGTAGATGTACATAGCAGGGGCTTAATGAGCCTATTAGCAATTTGCAAAGACCCAACAACTTGCTGTGAGGAATGTGAAGATGAAACAACTCGCTCTTTCTACACTAGGGGAATTTAGTTAAAGACATATTTGCTGGGAAGGAAAGTCCCACTGTTTAGAGGCACAGATCAGCATAAATGCGAATGGAGGAATGTTCAAGAGCAAATTAAGCCCTGCATTTCAGGAATTAAGCTAGCAGAGACTTCAGATGTTAAAGTCCCAGCGATATACAGGCATACAATATTAGAGTTGCATGTTCTAAAGGAAAAATGTTCTCTAATATCTTAACACTTGGATAAATAAATGCTAAAGGCAGATTTCAGGCTTACTTATACAGTCAAATGAATATATATACACATACAAATATAGATGCAAAATAATAGATTTTAGTGTGTGAAGGAGCCTTAAATATTATCAATTTGCTCCACTAGATTTACCGAGAGAAAACAGAGGCTTTGAAAGGTTCAATAACTTATTCAAGGTCACAAGTAGAAATTGACAGAAATGAAATCTCCTAACATCTGCTAATGCTTTTTCTACTGTGGCTTGCTTCTTTAAAAGAGAAGTCTTTGTGAATGTGTATAACTCCATGTGCATAGGGGATTTCAGCACTTTCTGAATTTCAGAACTCATTCAAACGATGAATGAAGCAGTATTCATATATTAAATATTTAAGATTACTTATATTGACTCTCAGTTGAAGTTTTATTTCCATATCAATTAGATTTGAATACATTCACCTTTTCACTCAGTATCAGAAGTGTAAAGTGTCAAAGATAAACTCAAAAAGAAAAAAAATCCTAGTACCAGCTATGCATGATTTCAAATACTATCCCTACTTTTTTCCACATGACGTTACCTTCAAAAAATGGAATAAATATTCAGTCTTCTCCACTGATATACAATTATTAGTTTTCAAATTCTGTGAACTCTGTGAAGTTAGTGATGACACACGGAATTATCATTACATTTTACTAGAATAAAAATTAACAACAACACATAAACCACAATGCTTCTGACAGTTACTTGGTAAAATGGGAGTATGCTTTTTGATTTTCTAAGATCAGCATTTACATACTTTTCACTTATGCTACTTTTTAAAAGTTTATTAACAGCTTATTAATTAGTCACATCTAGCCCACTATAGCACTCATAATTGATTTTTTTGTATTTTGTTGTTTGGAAATATATTACTACTTAGACACTAAGAAACTAATAGGAAAAGTACTCTTTACCAACTTTTCTGCTAGTGATGCACTTCCTTCTCCTTCACCTCAGCCTCTGCTATCTGTCTGTGTCTTTCAGCTTCCAAACTGTTTTGCCTGATCATGTCCAATCGCTGAAGTGCCGGCGACCACCTAGAGAACCACAATAACGGGCTTCCCCTTGAGAGAGCCGCGTGGGACTTCTGTTCATTCCTTTCATGTAGAAACGGCATGCAGGATATTTTATGATTCATTTTTCCCTTTTTGATAAGTATGAAAGAAATATCAAAAGAAATTCAGAGGTATTTCCATTTTCTCAGAATGAGATGAAGCACAGGGAGCTTCTACTTAAGAAACATGCTTTTTTCTCCCTGACATTCTCGGTTCATAAAGTGAGAAAATTTTCTTTACTGCTTTTTTTCTTTGATGCCTGAAAACAAGATTCTGTGCCTCGTTGCATTTTTAACACTTTCAAATTAAATTGCCTATCTTAATTAATTTAGTTAACTTAAGAACTAATAAGAACAATGCCTAGCAATTGTGATTTTAGTAAGCTCTAATAACCATTTGCTTATTAAGTTAATAGCATTCAAAAATGCAGAACATATACAAGGACAGAAATCTCTAATGTGTCCCCAAATTTAAAAGTACTGTGTTCATAAACCATAGCATATTCCAGCAGTATATTTCAATGTCTTGGATGTTTAGTTAATATGAAAAAAGAATTATGTAAAATACATAATTATCTAAATATTGTGTCCACAGGCTATAGGTTTGTGGAAAAAGTCAAACAGCCTTCTCCCTTTGTGTTATTTTAACCACATTTTCTAAAAAATCATGAAATGTCAAGGTTGTTCCTAAGATTAGAGAGATGATCATTTTTATGTATTGTGTGCTATAATCAAGTCACTTTGTCACTTATTGCTCTATCATGCTTTGGATTTTCAGTGATTTTATGAATTCAGATTCCTGGATGTTTTAGCAATCTTATCAAATCACCACTTTAAAGAAAAGCAGGATCAATGGATTTAGTATCACATATACTGTATTTATTCAATGGCCTAAAGCTATAGTTCTTCTCTCTTCTCTTTGCAATACCAAATTTGCTTATGGAAGAATATGTGCCCCTTATTAATATGTTTAAACCAAAATAACATCCAACTGTATGATTTTTTTAATCACTCTGTATCTGCCTGTTAAATGCATACTGACAGGATTTTACCTGCTTTGCCAATAACCTTGTTTATAAATGACCTATTATCCAATTCAGAAAAGTTTGCTGCCAAACTACCATTGATTAATTTTACAAAAAACATCATTTCATTGAGGTGCCATTAGGACAATTCCAAGACATCTTTTAACAGACACCAATTTAATATTCCTCTGCATTGGACATTATGATACCAGAAATTCAGAATGGCTTTTAAAAAGGAACATTTGAAATTTTAGAAATAAACCCAAACATGGTATTACATTGCCGTTGTGCTTCTCAATTCAGTCATACTATCAAGGATGAAAGGGTAAGCATTCTAGTGCGATCAGAATATCTGTACACCAAATATAAATTTAAAATGGACTTACTTTTTGCTTATCATTTATACTACTCTTGGAAACCTGATTTGAATAAAAAATGTATTTCCCTCTTAGTTTTGAATCATTTCCCCCACCCTAAACAAGTATTGTTTGTACGTTCACACAGAAAGTTAAGTAAAAATATAGTGAAGGCTCCAAGCAAAATCTAGCCCAGTCCAGACAGCGTAATAATGATGTCATTAAGACTCCTAGCTGAATGGGATTCAGACAGAACTGCTGTATAGCTGCAGACATAAATCTGAAAACTTTTTGGCTACATTCTCAGACTTACCTTGAGAGATATTGAGGAGCTCCAGCAAAATGAGTTGAGAGAAATGCACTCAAAAGAAGGTATGCAGACTGCAGACAGAGAGGTAGGCCCTAGAAGGTGCATCCTTCTGAGATACAGGAGGAAACAGTTTGTTAATGGATAAAGACAGAGAAACAATCTGAAGAAGAAGAAAACAGAAAACAAATAAACCTTAATTCTAGCACAAATAAATGAGAGAAAGGCAATTGTGGGGCTGCTCAAAGCCTTTTTGCCTCGCTGAATGAAAGCAATCCCTAAGACTGAATGGGTAATGAGATCCTGGCTCCTGAGATTTTAGCTTTCTTAATCATGTTCATAATTAATTCAAGAACATTGATAATTTCATTACATTCTTTTTGTCTTATCAATAAATGATGTGCCTGCACTTTTGGTCCTGTGTACAGGGAGAGAAGAGATGCTTTGGGTAATATTGCACTAGGAATAGTGGATATATATGATCCAAAAAGGTGAAGTGGTAATTATTATCCTTGACCAGACTTCTATTATCAGAACACGATGACAAGCAGCTACAAATAATTAATAAGCTTTTTATGCGAAATGCAAAACCTTTGAAGAAAAATATGCTGCAAGTAGAATTTCTTACTGAAGATTATGTACATAGCACAACACACTTCTACAGAGCCAGTTTGAAACGGAACATGCTAAAATGCCTGCATCACAAACACATGAAGAAAATCAATAGCGTGTTTTTAAAGTACCATTTTAAAAAACTTTTCTTTGTCTTAATGTTTCATTTCAAAAAAAAAATCTGTGTCCTTCTGATTGTCTTCCTGAAGTCCTTTCCAGGATCAACTTACAAAGATATTAAACTGAACTACCCACTCAGTAAAACCTCCTTTTTAAAACCAAGATGGAAAGCTCTGTCACTATCTGTCAGTCATCATCAAAGAAGCCCTTTTCCTTTATGGTTTTCTGTTCACCCCCATGTAAATTTTCACAAAGCTATCACTCATTAGTTTCACGATCCATTTTCAAGGTTTGGAGAGAATGTTTAATGCCATTTAATAGCATGAAACAAGGAGGCTGTCTAGTCTCCCAAAATGTTTAGATAATTAACATCAAATTAAAAACTGGTCAGCCAGGAAGAGCTGCAAATGTGAAAATTCTCCTAATTGGAAACAAGAATAACATTTCAGTTTTAAATACAGTGTGTAGCAAATAATCCATGCTCAATTACACACGGGTGATACACAAACTAACATTTTTTAAAGAATTAGACCAATTTGGTTTACTTAAAATTTCAGCAGTGGAAATCATTTCACAAAAGTGTCTCAGAACTAATTGTGCTATTAAAGATAAAAACAATTCATACAATGCTAAAAAGTATTCATGTTGGCACTTTGATCTGATTACTGAACAAAATAGTCTTTGAGAAGACACTGCAGAATCACTTAGTAAAGCAAGCTGTTGCCAATGACATTGATATATGGGACAGAAATGATGTATATACTGGGTGGATTTATCAGTAAATCACTGGCTGTATTTACTTCCCTAAGGAAAAAGACCAGTCCCTGAAAGAGAATTCTTTGTTAGAACCACCAGTAGGGGATTGATATTGGCAAAACATTCAATTTGGATATAGTCTTGCAGAAGATTCATAAAACAATAATTGAATAAGTTAACAGACAAAGATTTAGCACATTGGCAGCATACAATTGCCTAGAGAACATTAAGTTTCTTTATTAATTTCATCAAATTATTTCTTTGTGACCTCAGTTATACAGGATGTAGCAATCTATTTCTCAATGAAAGAAGACAATTTTGAGAAGTTTTAAGTCCCTAAAAATAACTCTTCCATAACATACAAAATATAAACACCATACAGACTGATTCCCAGTTAAAAGACTATTAAATTACAGTGAAATTTAAGCCTTAGATGTCAATTTCCACATGTTCCACACATTTTTTACATTCCTATCTGCTTTTTAAAGTTCCAAATAGGAAGTAGATATTGCAAATCAAATATGCTGATCAATATTTCAAGTTAATGCAGACCCAGCTGAATTTCAGGGACAGAAGATGGAATTGTAAGTGCTTTCTGTGCAGTTTCATAAGAGGAGTTAAATTAGAAAGGAAAACAAATATGTATAATGGAATGTAGCCTGCACTAAAGTGTTTTCAATTCTATAGCTTTTGCATATTTACCATCAGCCTAAATCTCTTCCCCAGTGAGCTTCAAACCCTTATGTATAATTCCTGGGCATTTCCAAGTGGATGTTCCCTAACTAATTGTGTCCCAAATTTTATTCATTATCTCTTTCTTCCCCAAACCTGCTCTTTTGCTGTCCCATCTCTGGGAATGGTCCCCCCATTTACCTGGTTACCCAAGGAAAACACTAAGGCATTGTTTATGAAATATCATTTAAATATAACATCCAATCAGCCATCAGGTTGTCATGCTTTGGCCTCCCAAGTGTCTCTGCAACCTGTCCTCTTCTCTCCATTCTCATGCAACCCATCAGCCCCCATTGCCTGAGTTGTTTTTTTTTAAATGTCTTCTGCCTCTAGGTTCACCCTCTCCCTTTTGCTCTCACACTGCTGCCCATCATCTTTTCAATCACAAATGTGATCATGTCATTCCTCTACTTAGGCCTTTAGTGGCTCTCATTACCCACCTGTAAGATTGCTTAGAGGCCCTTTTGATCTGACTTCTGTTGATCTCTCTTAGCCTCATCTTTTAACCATACTGTTCCCCTAATCATATGGAATTACTTTCTGTTCCACAGACTGCTCTTTTCACTAAGCCTTTTGTATATGCAGTGCCCTTGCCATTTCTGTGATCAACGGCCAATTATTTTTTAATTAGGCTTTATAATAACTTTTGAAGATTTTTCAGTTGCTCTTTGCAATTTCTCAAAGTTCACGTTAAAATAGAGCCTTTATCAGTGGAACTGGTAGTTGTACTTCAGTTAATTCTTGCTGCAGTCTATCAGTGGGCTTTTGTGCCACTCGGCCTCCCTGGCAGTCATACTAATCACTAGTCTTATTATCATAATCTGTAACCTCTGCTGTTTACTTCCTCATAGAACTGAAGGATGTGAAGTATAAGCATAGTCTCATCTGTGTTTAAATTTAATCAACTGTTGTCTATTCTTATAAAAGCAGGGTATTTCTCCTTTCATCTCAGAGTGATATTCTAGGTCTTTGCTACAATTATTTTATCAGATTCAGTTACATTTTCCACTTTCTTCTGTTTTGCATTTGTGTTTGATCTCACAGAAAGGTGAAAGTTGCTGGAACCAAAAAAAAAAAAATAAACTTGCTTGAATATATGTATAGATATGTCAAATTTTAGTGCATTTTGACTGCATTTTTTTTGTAATTTTTGTCTCCTGTTTTCTGAAAATTAAAAAAAATAGGAAAAATGTATAACCCCTTAATCTTATATATTAGATTTTGTGTAATTTCAATATCATGGTGATCAGGAAGAATATAATGCCGACACAAGAGAATGTACAAAATATAATGATTTCTCAATAAATCTTTGTTGAAATAAATATTAATAAAACTCAATTAATCCCATAAACCTCAGTTTCTAGGATATCATCTATATTTCCACCAGACTGCTTTTTAAGCAAAATTCAAATGTGGTCAATTCATTGTTAACTAAAGCATGAAAATTAATGATATAATTTGCAAAGATTTTTATCAATAGTATATTTTTTTAAAGTTAGTGTTTCTGAAATTCCCTTATTAGTAAGTACTTCCTGGTGATACCAAATAAACATAGTCTAATTGCAAAACACACAATGTCTAAACAGAATAAAAAGAGGAAGCAAAGAGGGCAAAGACATTGAGAATTACAAGGAGTTAAGAAAGCTGTACTAAACCAGTAGAGGGGTAATTATTGGAGTCCAAGTGAGAAAATAGCCAGAGGATACTAGAGAGCTGGAGCCCTGTGGTCCATATGGGAAGAGCGGGTCTGCTCTTTGGCAAAAACAGATTAGTGAATTTCACTCAAGTATCTTAGTCTGTTACTTGATATTAAAGTGATTTAAAATTTAAAATTTTATGAGAGCATTAACACTTAAAAAATATTTTAGAAGAAATCAATAATATTTATGTTGCCAGTTAGACATAAGAACAAAAGCATTCAAGTTTTTACCCCTTTCTCTCCCCTTTTCTATATCAGAAAGTCACCTGCTTTTGTTTTACATCTGAATCTGAATTTGAAAGATCTCTGCCTTCTCTAGTTGGAGATTCAGAGGCCCAAGTTCTCCAAATACAAGTAATAAAAGTAATAGATTGTCTTTCCATATTAATTTTTCTTATGTGAGATAATATCAAAACTTGAAAATTAGCCTCTTTTAGGACTTGAAAAGATCAGAAACTAAACAGAAAAATATCTAATTTAAACCACATAGGTTAACAAATATTCTACAGAAGTGATTTTTTTTTCAGAAGCATATTTAAATGCTTTACTTCTATCTTCTCTCCCTCATTTTTTTTTGGCGGGGGATGGTGGTTGTGTTAGTCTGTTTTCATGTTGCTATGATGAAATATGTGACCCAGGGTAATTTATAAAGGAAAGAGATTTAATCGACTCACAGTTCTGCAGGGCTGGGGAGGCCTCAGGAAACTTACAATTATGGCAGAAGGGGAAGCAAATACACCCTTCACATGGTGGCGGCAAGAAATGCGGAACGAAGGTGGGGAAAAGCCCCTTATAAAACCATCAGATCTCGTGAGAACTCACTTACTATCATTAAAACAGTATGAGGTAAACTGCCCCGGTGATTCAATTATCTCCACCTGGTCCCTCCCTTTACACGTGGGGATTGTTACAATTCAAGATGAGATTTTGGGTGGGGTACAGCCAAACCTTATCAGTGGTCATCTTTAGAGGCTGTTTCTTTTGGAAGCATAGTTCTTATGCTCCTCTATATCTAAAATAGCAAATATTGACTATCTGGCCTTTTGATGATAGCCAAATTTGTAATTGCTCAGCGCTATTGCTCCATAAAATCATGACTTCAGAGGCATGGGCATCTTATCAGTTTCACGTTGTAGAAAACTGAGGCTCAGGGAAGTTGCCCTGGGTCACAATTCTTGTAAATGGTGAAATTAGGTTGTTCCCTTCTCACTCTGTGGCCTCCAATACAGTGCAGGCAATCTAAGTGGCAAAACTCAATTGAATTAACCAATAATGACTAATCTGCCTTTGCTTTTGACCTACTGTCTATGTGGTCTTTCCTCCTCATATGGTCTTTGTCATTGATAAACAGAAAATATCAGGACCCCAGGAACTGTGAATTTCCTACCCAAAAACATTCCCAGAAATCATACAGTTCCAAGGGCCAGGAGCAAAGAGATGCAATCTAGCTTGTCTTCAGGATTGAGAAGGATGGTGTGGTCTGAGTCTCCTCTGGGGAGAGAGTAGGCACGCTGAAAATACTGGAGCTCACAGTGGGGCAGGGCCTCCATTAAGGCAGAGGACAGCACAGCTCAGGGTAGCCTGCCAGGCCTTAGCCTCTATCTAAGGTGGAGGTTTTTCTTCCAGTGGAGGTAGGGGCAAGGAAGGATTTACAGTTAGGGAGTGTAGAATTTGCTCCTCAGGAGACATATGAGAATTCTGGAAATACTTCTGGTTGTCACACAGGAAGAAGGTGCTACAAACATCTAGCAGGTAGAAGCCAGGGATGTTGCTAAACATCCTGCAATGCCCAGGACATCCTTCCCCAACTCCAACAAGGAATTATCTGGCCTAATATGTCAATGGGGCTGAGGCTGAAGAACTTCAGTTTAGGGTAGGACCTCCCTGTACACCTTTCTTCTCCAACTTCCCTCAGTTTTCTTTAGGATGAAGTTGGGTAAGAGAGACAGCACATGATTTCCTTTTTATTCCTTTCTCATTTAGGCAGCTGGAGTGAGCATACTAGTAAATTGGTTTCCACTCCCATTCCCCTTCTTCAGCTGTTCATTAGGAGGCCTTGTTGCGTATGGGTTAGAATCATGGACTTTGGAGTCACACAGACCTAGTTTGGATCCTAGATTTGCCATTTACAAGCTATGGGACTGGCTGGGCGCCGGTGGCTCACGCCTGTAATCCAGGCACTTCGGGAGGCCGAGGCAGGCAGATCACTTGAGGTCAGGAGCTTGAGACCAGCCTGGCCAATATGGTGAAGCCCTGTCTCTACTAAAAATACAAAAATTAGCCAGGTGTGGTGGTTCATACCTATAATCCCAGCTATGCGGGAGGCTGAGGCAGGAGAATCACTTGAACCTGGGAGGCAGAGGTTTCAGTGAGCTAAGATTGTGCCATTTTACCCCAGCCAGAGCGACAGAGCGAGACTCCATCTCAAAAAAAAAAGAATTAAATTTAATTTTAAAAGAATAAAAAAACAAGCTATGGGACTACCAGCAAATTGTTTTTCTTATTTAAGCCTCAGTTTCCTCATCTGTAAAACTAACAACAAATAGTATCACCTCCCACACTGAAGGTCAGCCTATTTTCTCAATTCCCAGTTCCATGCCTTTGTGTAGATCAATTTTTTTTTTTTGGCATGGACTATATTCTCTTCATGGGGCATAACTACTAGTTAAATCTGCTCTGTATCCCTACACTTCTTTTCCCTTCAGGGGAATCACTCCCTTTCTCAATCTGTCATTCAGCGATTCTTCCCCCTGAGTCCAGGTGTGGGTATATGACTAGGCTTGAGCAATTAGAATGCTCAAATTCTCTGGCCACTGTAATTCATTTGAGGATGATGATATGGAGCTCAAGGCAAGCCAGTGAAATTTATCACAGGGCTTTTGCTGGAGCTCTTGAGAAATAGGTGTTCTTTTTTCTGGGATGATTTTCTGACAGTGATGGAAAATTAATGTAGCCAGGGAACTGGCTATGAATGAAGCCAACCCAGAGAGAAGCAAACCACAAAATGCAAGGAGCAAGAGAGAGACAGGCAGAATCCTGACAACACCATAGGAGCAGCTGAATCCAGTAAGCTCTGTAGCAAGTTCTGTCTCCAGATTTTCAATTATACAGGACTTTTTTTTTTTTGCTTAAGTTTATGTGAAGATATGTGAAGACGTTTTTTCATTTACAAAAACAAATAACTTAAAAGAGTCTGATCTCTCCTAATCTTTTTGCCATCAGCTTCTACCCACTCCATGTGTCACTCTGCCACCAAAGTTTGATGACTAATATATAAATCTTTTAAAGGCATCCACCTATTTTAAAGCTCCACTGGTTCCATGTTGCCAACAGGAAAAAAAAAAAAAAAGTAAACTCCACGACATGATACAAAAAAGCCTTTTCTGGCATCTCCCAGCCTTATCTCTATTCTATGGCAAAATGAAATTTCTTATTGTTACACCAACACAGCCTAGTCAATCACACCTTACGTTTGCAAGCACTGTTCTCTTGCCTTTGCAAGTACTCTTTCCTCTCCCCATGCCTTGTCTTTATTTTACAAGACCCGATTCGAATTTTACCTATTTTGAACAGTGTTTTCCCAATACCCCTAGGCAGTGTTAGCCACAATCTTAATTAAAATATTTTAGGCTGCAATGAAGAAAATATCCACTCGAAAGGTCCTAACAATGAGGAAAACATATAGTCTCACATAATAAGAAGTCCGGCTTTCAGGCAGGTTAACCCGGGAGCTCAATAACAACATCTAAGATCAGGGATACACACTCTCTCCAGTCTCCCCCTCTGCAATCCTCACCACTTGGGCTTTTGCCTTTTTAAAAATGAGACTAGAATTTTAAATTCTCAAATAATGATAATATAAAAATAAAATTATTAAACCATTTTCACTTATGATCATAGATGTAAAACAAAATGTAGCTAACAGAGTCAGTAGTATACATATTAATATATCATATTTTTACATATTTTTTATTTCAATAGCTTTTGGAGTACAAGTGGCTTTGGTTATATGGATGAAGGGTATAATGGTTCAAAGCAAGTTTTTCAAAAGAAAAAAGAACGTTTCTTCCTGAGCATCTTTTTATCACTGAGGAAACATTTTTCAGAAATTATCCCGTAGACTGCTCTCCATATGTCATTGGCCAAGATGAAATCACATGCTGAGGCCTCCACCAGTCATTGGGAAGGGAACTGGATGGCTGACTTTAATTGCCTTCCCTAATCAGGATTTGTGCCCCTGGGGCTGGAGAGAAGCTCTTTCCATGAGCAGACTGTACCCTAAGAGGTAGGGGAAACACCCAAATGAAATTTGGTTCTGCCAGCCATGGTTTTGAGAATCCATTTGGCCTCTGGTTAAAAATAAATACATACATAAATAAAAATTAAAAATTGGAGTCAGGCACCCAGCAAGGACAGATGACTAAACATCTTTACAAGTGTTTTGCAGCCTCTCTCAGCTTGTAAAAGACATTTGTACCCACCTCCTCCCCTCTGAGAGTACCTGCTGCCAACAAGAAAGAAGAAAGGAATGGATTTGAATTGGACACCTCATTACTTCCCTTGGTATTTGCACAGCCACACTTGTCTGCATTTGTCCCTTTACCTAATAATTTATCTTGTTACACATCTATCTCCCTGACTAGAGCTATAAGATCAAATAAGATGGGGATAGTTCTCTTTTCCTTTAGGACCTGACAAACAGATACTGTATATCATAGAATCCAAGATACCGTCTATTGCAAGATGCACCATTTTTGTAACACTGAGAAGGAAAAAATGGTGCCAATTAAACTATGCAGTGTCATTACCTCTAAGACAGGTCTCAATTTCAGAGGTGAAATTGTTCATCATAGAATTGATGAGGTGTTATTAATACCAGTTTGTTCCCGTAAAGAGTAAAGGAATGAAATTTTAATACTTCATTGCTTTTACTTAGGTTGTTTCAAGGTATAATGTTCTAGAGTTTATCTTTTATTCATAGTATATTATAAACTTTGTTCAAGATGTTTTTTATTAAATTGATACATAAATAATAGTACTTTCTTCTATCTGGAGTCTATTTTTCATCAGTGCTTCCTTCACATGAAAAAAAAAATCACTAAGCTCTCAGTATTCAAACAATATTAAAGAAAAAAAGTGAGGTTAGTATCATTAAATGGAGCACGGTGGAACACAGCCTTGTCTTGGTGATGGGACAGGTTTCAGGTTGGTACCAGAGCACCGTCCCCTTTGGCTTTTCATTTGTATAAATTTGGGGCATTTGAGAGCAGAATTAACTAAAGAAAGAGTGCCTGCACCTTAAGTGCCATATATAGTAAGAATAGGGATTTTATTTTTTGTACTTCCCTTAGATGGTAATTTTCTAAGAGTAAAAGACACTGCCTCCATCTTTGTCTTCCTCGTACAGTCTATTGCGTGTTTTCCACAATAGGCTCTCAAAAACGTCCAATTAACTGGAATCTAATTCCATTGAGAAATAGGTGTTATAAAACTAGGAAGATGGTATGGGGAGGTTAGAGGTGAAATGGGAAGGAAAAACCCAAAGGCTAAAGGCACAGGGGTCACCACAGAAAATGGAGAGCCATGAAGACATTGGCAGAGTTTTTTAGTGAAGTTAATAAAAGCCTTAAGCCTCGGGGCTAGTGGGGAAGAAGGTGTTCTGGGAAGGGTAAGTCAGGGAAGGGCGATGTAGCAATGGCCATTGCCCATTCTGAGGTGGTGGGCCAGAAAGGCACAGACTGTCAGTAGTATGCACGAACCAATTTTGTAGCAGACAGTGAGTGAAATCGGGGCGGGGGCGCCTTAGTGCAGGGGGGAGAACACAGCTCTCTTGTGCCCCCTCTGTGCAATATGGCATAGCAACGAAAGTATCCACAGCCAAGGGTTAGCTCCGCTGTTTGCTGATGTCTTAACTTTCAAATTACTTAAATCTCTGAGTTTATGCTTCATTCGCTGCAAAATAGAGAGCTAATCCTTATACCTCATGGTGGTTCAGAGAATTAAATGAGATAGCATTTGTGAAAATGTCCGGCATGGTGTCTGCCCAAAAAGTAGACCCTCAAATCCTTCGGGGAAAGAGGCAGAACATAAAGCACTCAAAGTCATTGAAAATGTTTATTAAGGATTTAAGTGCACCAGACATCATACTAGGTCCTGAGGAGACAAAAATATGTAAGACAGTCCCTTCCCTCAGGACACAGTTTAGTGGGAAGCACAGACAGGTAATCATCTTCATGAAAACATGCTTTGGTAACAGCTACAATAGAAAGAAAAACAAACTGGAACCGAGCAAAGCCAGAGATTCATTTTGCCTGTGGAAGCCAGACAAAGGTTTAATTAACTAGGCTCGAGAGTTGAAGATGGCTTCAAAGAAAACAGGAAGTTTAGATGGGGTGTACAAAGATGAATAGGAATTGTCCACAATTTTTTTAAATTAAAATAAAAAGAAGGGGAAATTACTTGTAAGAACTGGAAAACCTCTAAACTTCTTTAAAATAAAAAACAATATGGTTATGATATGCAGATGGAAAATAAGCGCTGATAAAGATGTTCACCTTTATTAGCCACCAGAGAAACGCAAATTAAAACCACACCTATTAGAATGACTAAAACAAAAAATAATGACAGCATGGAATGCTGGTTAGGATGCAGATAAAGTGGATCTCTCTACATTGCTGATGAGAATGTAAAATAGTACAGCAGCTTTGGAAAACAATTTGGTAGTTTTTTATAAAATTAAATATGTGATTTCCATATGATACAACCCAGCAAATTTCACTCTTAGACATTTACACCAGAAAAATGGAAATTTATGTTCCTGCAAAAACCTGTTTCAATGTTCATAGCAGTGTACTTGCAATAGCCAAAACCTGGAATCAGTCCAGATGTCTTTCAAATGGCAAATGCTTAAACAAACTGTGATATATTCATATCATGGAATTAATACATCATGCAATAAAAAGGAGTGAACTGTTGATAAACACAATAACTTGGTTGACTATGCAGAAAATTATATTGAGTAAAAAAAAAACCAACCACTAAAGGTTACAATTGTATGATTCTATTTATATAGCATTTTTAAAATGACAACATTTTAGAGATAGAGGAAAGAAGACGGGTTGCTAGAAGTTAGCAGTGGGGGAGAGGTCCTTGTGGTGATGAAACTGTTCTGTATCATGTGGTTCGGGGTGCGGAATTGATAACATAGATAGAAATACACACATACACACAAATGAGTGCAAGTAAAATTAGGAAAATATGAATAATTTGAATTATTCAAATAAGGATCATGTCAATGGTGGATTTGATCAATGTCAATATTCTGGTTGTGATATTCTACCATAGTTTTACAAAATATTACCATTAGATGAAACTGGTTAGAGTGTACAATAAATCCTTTGTATTATATCTTACAACAGCGTAAAAATCAACAATAAAAACATTAAAAATTTCAACTAAATGAACACTATAGTTTTTTATTATAAATTTCCCAAGGTTTCATTTAACCTAATTTAGGAATACTTTTAATTCTATTTATTCTACAAGGATTTATTGAGCCTATGACTGCAATTGCAACTTGCAATTGCAACTTGATAGGTGCCCTTAACTAATTCCTATCCTGTGTGAGCTTATCCCAGCTGAGGTCATTTCCTCCTTCCTTTGACCTCCACCACACAATGCATTCCAGCTCTGTTATAATAATGAACACTAATTGTGATCCCTTTTCTTCACATAGTACAGCAAACTGACACGTTTCTCCCACCTCCTGGGCACAAAATTGGCCCATGTTCCCCAGTCTCCAGCTTTCACAGCAGTTATGTATGACTTTGTGACCAAGTTCTGGGTAATAGAAGGTGCGCAGAAGGGATGTGTATCACTCTCTGTCCTTACCCATGAACTCCTCTGGTGCAATTCTCCACACTCTCTCTTCTAATTGGATGCAAAGATCCAGCAGAAGACCCCACAGATCTAGGAGAAAGCAAGCCAACAATGGGAGAAACTCAAGCCTCTGAATGACAACATAGAAGGCCACTCACAAGTAAGAAGTAAACTTATGTTATGTTGAGTCATATGAACTTTGGGTGTTTGTATATTACAGAGAATAGTGTTTTCATCCTTACTAATACATGTGTTTATCTCCACAGTAGACTTCAGGCTCCCTGAGAGTAAGAACTGGGTTGTGTTCACCTTTATATTCTTAGAATCTGGTACGGTGCTTGGCACAGAGTATCTACTTCATAAATGTTTTGACAATCATGTTCCTGTCAATGACAGATGTTGACATTATCTAGTATTTCATAGCCTTTGATAAAAACCTATTCCTTCTCTTGAATGTGAAAAGAAAGCCTAGGATCTCATCCCCTAGTCCAGTCTGACTGCTGGACTTGAAAAGGGGCAGTAGTGGTTGAATGGGCAAAAATCAGAACTATTACTTGGTGACTTAATTTCCTATTCTTAAGCACATATCTACTTTCTATTATTTTGTAAGTTTAAAACACATTTAGTTTGTCCGAACCTCACTCATTTTGATGTCATGTAATCTAAATTTGGCAAGTTTCACTAAACAAATGTTTCTGTAAGAATTTCATAGAAAAGTGCTCTAGTGAGAGCTTATCTTTAGACACCTTCATTAGTTTTTGGAAAAATAACACAAGACACTTATTCCTGCACTATGAAATTGTATGAATAATTAAAATCAAACCTCACATATCAAAATAAATGACCTAAATACTTGTCATGATATGTTATCCTTTTACTTTGTGTGTTGGCTTCTTACTGGGTAATTCGCAAAAAATTTGCTCATCAAAAATAGGTCACCAGGTCATAAGACTGAATTTATGACTGTGGAATTCTGGAGTTTTGCTACAGTAAAAGACTCACATGTCTTCTTTGTATCTTATCTAAGTATACACATGCATCAAATTGTCGAATTCCAAGCGGAAAATAAGACTAACTTGTTTAATACATGTTTTTTTTTGTTTGTTTGTTTGTTTTTTACAGTCCACAGGTCTTTTTTTTTTTTTAACACCTATTATGCCATGAATTCATAGAGAAGAGGTTCCAGCAGCTCAGGCTCCTCCCCATGGGTTCTCACAAAGTGCACTTCTCTGGATGGAGCAGGCTGGGGCTTCAGTTGAACACAGGTACTTTTCTCTTTGGCTTCTTCCTTTTTCTGATAATTTTCCTTCACGTGCTTCAGGAAACTATCTCAGCTCTTAGAGTGCTTTGTGTGCTCAATACGCACATTAATTCTATTGGCAAGAATCTTGCCCTTAACCTGTTTGTTTACAACAATGCCAACAGCATGCTGGGTAACATTGTAGACTCTCCCAGTTTTCCATGGCAACACCTATGGGCATTCCTTTTTGAACAGTACCCATTCCCTTGATGTCTACAGTATCACTTTTCTTATAGATTCATATGTACATGGCCAAAGAAACAACTCCATGTTTTCTAAATGGTCTAGAGAACATATATTGGGTGCCTCTCCTCTTTCCCTTTTGTTTATCATTTTGGCGATTTACTGGAAGATGGTGGTTCTGGCCGAAAGGCTATGCTTTTATAAATATATGCTTTCTCTTTTAAGCCAATCTGTTTTGTGTTATTTTATATCTCCTTTTAACAATATTTTAAAATATTTTGATTGCTATAGATAATTATATTATCACAGTATTTGACAATTGGAAGAGACTTTAAGATCACCTGACTCAATGCCTTCACAGAAAGAGAAGCTGTCTTCAAGAGGTTACGTGACTATCAGAGCTCACATCTCTGACAAGCAGAAAAGCCAAGTTGAAAACCCAAGCTCTAAGTCTGGCCAATGATGCTTTGGGATTCTCCAAGATGAATTCAATGTTGATTATAAGATCTTATAAGCTAAATTATGAGTTTTGCTAAGAAGACATTACTTGATTTTATCTTTGTGATTGGAACTCATATAATTACTGTATTTAAGACTTGAGTGGCAGCAGACTAGGTTTTAGTTTCTTAATATTTAATTTAACATTTATTAGTTTAAATTTTATGAGTCTTTCTTTGGAGTTAGCTTTTTTTCCAGTTCCAAATGTTTTTAAATCCCCTCAAAAGCCTACAGCCCTCTTCAGAGTTTCAGTATTCACCCTCATGATGCCTTTTACTTTTATGTCTTGACTTTTTCTTTTCTTCTATGGTATAACGTAAGAATCAAAATCTCTATTTTTCCATATAACTAGTTATCTCTGTGCCTTCCCACTTATCTGTGATGCCTCATTTATTTATTTACTTTTGTTCGATTGTTGTATGTTTCTTGAGACAGGGTCTTTCTCTGTCTCCCAGACTAGAGTGCAATGGCACAATCATGGGTCACTGCAGCCTTGACCTACTGTGCTTAACAGATCCTCCTACCTCAACCTCCCAAGTAAACAGGACTACAGGCATGTGCCACAATGCCCAGGCCCAGCTAATGTTTTTTATTTTTAGTAGAGATGGGGTCTCGTTGTGTTACCCAGGCTGGTCTCAACTTCCTAGGCTCATGTGATCCTTCCGGCTTGGCTTCCCAAAGTGCTAGGATTACAAGTGTAAGCCACGGCACCCAGCCCCTCTTTATTGCATATTATATTGTTTTAGATAATCGGGCTGTTTTCTGGTTATTTATTCTACATTGTTGAATATATTTTTATATCAGTGTCAGTATCAGACAAAATAGGTAGTAATAAATAACTTCAAGATGTCAGTGACCTAACAAAACAAAAGTTTATTTCTCATTCATGTTATACGTTCAGCGTGGGTCAGTAGGGGGCTCTGCTTATCAAAGTCTCCTAAGGACCTTGGCTGACAGTTGACAGAGGACCATGTCCACCTTGCTTCAGAGATTAGTGAAGCCGTGCTGGTGTCTACCCAAGCGCATGTCACTTTTGCTTTGTAACTTTTTTTCTCAGTAAATTTTGCAGATAATTTTAAAATTGTTGATTGTACAAATACCTTGGGAAAGCTTTTTTAGATTTAAAAAATTATCTTGCAGATTTTCAATTGTTAGGTCGATTTTGAGCATATATAGTCCCCCCCCCCACAAATAATCATGTATTTCATTTAGACTAAAATTATTAATATAAAATTGTACGTAATATGCTCATGTAAGCAGTTTTTATAACTTTTATTTCTAATTTTATGTATTTTATCTAATTAATTAGCTTTGCTAAACATTTATCTTGCCGAATTTCATGAAAATTAAGCAGTTCTTAGATTCACTTTTTTTTTTTTTTTTTTTTGAGATGGTGTCTCACCTTGTCGCCCAGGCTGGAGTGCAATGGCACGATCTTGGCACACTGCAGCCTCTGCCTCCCAGGTTCAAGCGGTTCTCCTGCCCTAGCCTCCCAGCAGCTGGGATTACAGGCGCACTCCACCACGTTCAGCTAATTTCTTGTGTATTTAGTAGAGACGGGGTTTCACCATGTTGGCCAGGCTGGTCTCGAACTCCTGACCTCGTGATCTGCCCACCTCGGCGTCCCAAAGTGCTGGGATTACAGGCGTCAGCCACCGCGCCCAGCCAGATTTACTTTGTAATCACACATTTTGCTTTCTAACTCACTAATTTCTGCAGTTAGTTTTGATGCTGGTGGGCTAAGGGAGGTCTCCAAACGTTGGTGGGACCTCTGACCCTGGCCAGTGTCCAGGCTGTTGACACTATCTTGCAAGGAGAAATTCAAGGACAAGTTGGAAAATGGTGAAAGTGTGGAAATTTATTGTAGAATGAAAAGTACACATTCAAGAAAGGGGAGTATGAGTGTACTCAAGAGAGTCACACAAGGGGGTTTGGGGCCGCTACCTTTATGGGTTTCTTTAACCAAGGGGTAGAATATTCATAAAAATTCCTGGAAATAGGTGGAGGTTTCTTGGAACTGTGATGCCGCCCATTTTTGCATCAAATATGTGTGTTCCCAGAACTGTCATGACACTGGTGTGTGTGTGATTTAGTATGTTCGTGAGCATCTAATGAGGCCCTAGGTGAACCTAAGTCAAATCCAGTGCCATGTTGGGTCCAGTCAGTCTTAGCAAATTTGGCCCATGCCCTGGTTTTTCAGGTCTTATCAGCAACTAGCTTCTGCAGCTATTTCAACAGTTCCCTTTTGCCAGTCATGTGAAACGGCCTTCAGGAATTTTCCATTCTCCTGCGACCACCTTGTATTGCTCCTATCTCAGTTTTATCATTTTTATCTTCTTACTTTCTGGGGTTTTCTTTGCTTTCTTCTAAGTATTGAATTTAATGATTAAATGACTTACATTTTCTATCTTTTAATAGTTAATATATTTCTTAGCATATCTTTAAATATGCCATACATTTTGATGTATAATATTCTCATATTTGTATGTTTAAATTAATCTACAACTGCATGGTTGGTTTCTGTTAACCAGGTTTTAGGACGGTATTTTTTAGCTTTTAAGGGCCTGAACATTTCTATCTAGATTTTTAAAAATAGAATTTCTCATTTATTTTGGTGAGAAAATTTGGCCTATATAACCTTACAAATTATAGTTTCCAAATTCTCCAAAATGTTACCAAGGGCACATGTGCACAACCATATATAAATATGGATGTGGTGTGTGTGTGTGTGTGTGTGTGTGTGTGTGTGTCTGGGCTTGATCTTTACCTTATAACAAAATATGGTCTAGAATTTCAGTATGCATCTGTTTACCACCCAACTCAGGATGATTGGAGTCTGTAAGTAACAGTATACACAAAATAAAGGCTGTTTCTGTTTTGGCCAATGCAAAAGATGTGTCCTAAACGTAGGTGATAGCTGTCCAGTTACCTGCCCCTACTCTTTCATCCAAGAGGCTGACTGATGAGTCAACACGTCCTCCATCCTGCGTGCCAGCCAGCCATGCTGTTCAGGTTCAAATGCATGTGTAGGCTACAACTGGGTTCTTCAAACCAGTGCCTCCAAATCACAGATGGCAAACCCCTTCACACCTCAGACTCTGCCATACGGTTTAGTATTAACTTTAATTTTCAGGAGCATTCAAACCTTTTCATTCCCTTTAACATACTTTTAATTTTACAATATATACATTTTGACCTTATTTCCCTTGCTTTTTGAAGCATCAATCAATGGTTATTTTCTTCAGTAGCTCTTCCTGTCTGTATATTTCAATCCCCCATGAGACATTTTGGAACTTTCCAAGAGCCTCTGTTTTCTAAAAGATGTTGAGCTGTTTGCGAGTATTTTCATGAGAAGCTGGGAAAGGTTATATTAGGGACTACTTCTAGCTTGTCATCATCTTACTGCAGAATGTGTGTGGGTTTTTTAAATGAAAATATGAAACAAATACAATATGGTATGCAGATATTGTTCCTGTACTTGCACTTCCAAATTCTCACAGCTAAGAGGAGTAATTACACAAATAAACAAAATATGCTCAGGGGTTAGCACATGATCAGAAAACTGTGTAGCCTTTAAATAATGGTTTGACACTATCCCTTAGTAAATTTAGGACCTGGGATGAAATGAGCCAGTACAATCCTCAATATTAGAGACAGTAACCAAGTGTTCATGAGAATTCAAGCTGTTATTCTGTAGAGTTACTGAAAGATTTCTACCATTAATAATTTTAATTATAGGTTACATAAAAACATACAAAGCTACTGCTAAATTCTTTGCCTGCTTAAATAGCTTTTATTTTGAATGCTAAGCCAATCTTAATGCTGATGTAAATTATTAAATTGCTGTATTAGTTCTACCTATACAAAGTCTTATTCAAGTGACATTATCTGAGACATTTTTAACATGTGTATAAATAACCATTAATTAATGTACACACAACTAAAGAAAAACAGGAATGTTTCACAAAATGTGTGCCTGTAATTTTCAAAATTCAGTGGAGAAATAGGGATTACATATTTTAAAATTAAAGATAAAAGTCTGCTCGCAGATCCCAGGATAGCAGCATTTTATTCTGCCATAGCTCCTAAATGAACCTAAATTCTCACATCTAGAAAGGATGACAGAAAGTTTCTTAAAAAGGTGAACTGGACCATGAAAAATTTATACCTAGGCTACAATTTACAAAATATAAAAGTCTCAAAAGAATATTGATGCAAAATAACATACTATTAGAATCTTTTCTCTTTTTGGTAATACTTTGTGTCTTATGTTTTAATCTCAAGCCCGTAAGCTTCCTTCAGCACCTGCTATGTACAAAGCATGGTACTGGAGGCTGTGGTCACTACAAACATTGGTAAGACTTTGTTTCTGCTCTTAAGGAATCACTTTTTGCACTGGAAGTCATTACAAACATAACTCCAAACAAAGTCATTTAACACGAATAGAATAGAAAAACCTTAAAATTTCTATGAATTGCAAGTAAAGGGGGAAAGAAATTCCACATCAAAGGACCTGAGGAAGAAATGACAATTTGAAGTAGAAATTGAAGAACAGGAGTGCTTTACATGGCACACTACTTTGTGCCAATATTGCCAATTATTAAATGGCTCTACCAGTATCATGATGCAAGGTTACCAAGGATGCTGATTTGGCAAAGCATTGGTCTTGGATTCAGGTCCAGCCAGCCCTCCATACTATTCAATCCATTGGCCCTGCCCTTCCCTGGAAAACATGTGGTTAATGTTGACTGTGATTTATCCAGTGATTCCCAGAAAACCAAAGGCACTGTTGGCCTCCAACAAATAGGATCAGCTTTATAGAAAACTATGCATATAGGGGAAGCTCTGCCCCTACTGAGAGAATGATTCCAACAATACCCAGACCTTCCTTCGCTTCAAAGACAAGCGATCACTCTGCTTACTTTCTATATAGGATAAAATGCCATACAGATAAAATACTTTACAGATCAAATGACATCAAGCATGTGTGAGAGTTTTTCAAACCATAAGATCCCACATAAATATCAGGTGCTGATATTACCATAATAATCATGGTTGAAAAGCAACACAGTTAAGAAGGGAAATAGGGAGGTACTTTCTCACCTCCATTCTGTTCTGAGGTTGAAGGAAGAAGAAATATCTTAATGACCTCACATCTTTTTATTTTCCTATCATCTTCTCAAAGACCCCCACATATACTGAAAGTAGTAGGAGGGCCTTTGACCTTTTACAAAATTTGCAAATTGTGAACTAAGAGAGTGTTTTGCAAACTTTGATAGTTTACATACTAGCTTCATGCTTTTTGCTATAGTCTCATACACCCTAGAACATCATTTACTTAGTAATGGTCTTTGCACTGACTTCCTTTTCTAAAAAAATGCACTTACTTAAAAATAAAATTTCTTATTCCCACCATAAATGGAATTATTAAATGCCTCTACCAGTATCATAATTCAAGGCTACCAAGGACACTGGTGTGGCAAAGCAGCGGTCATGGATTCAGGTCCAGCAAGTCCATACTATTCAATCCATTGGCCCTGCCCTTCCCTGAACAACATACAGTTAATAGTGGCACTATTTAGTGCCATTAGTCCTAAGTATAAGGTAGCCATACCAACATGTATAACAACAACAACAAAAAATGTTATTAAAGTCTTGTGAGATCAAGTTGCTTAGCAAAGGTTGCACAAATGCAGCTACATGAGAGAGCCCCAATGAAATTGGAAGAGTGACCACCTAGCCAACTCACAGAATCTTGAGAAATAACACATTGTTGCTGATTTAAACACTTGGTTTTGGAGTGGTTTGTTACCCATTAAGGCAAGCTGAATAATTCAAAGAGAGCACTCCTCAAACCTTTATATGGGTCGGGTATGGTGGCTCATGCCTGTAATCCTAGCACTTTGGGAAGCCAAGACAGGTGGGTCGCTTGAGCCAGGAGTTCAGGACCAGCCTGGGCAACATGGCAAAACCCCTTCTCTACTAAAAATACAATAATTAGCCAGGGATGGTGACAAGCGCCTGTAGTCCTAGCTACTCGAGAGGCTGAGTTGGGAGGATGGCTTGAGCCCAGGAAGCAGAGGTTGTAGTGAGCCGAGATTATGCCACTGCACTCTAGCAGGGGTGTCAGAGCAAAACTCTGTCTCAAAAAAATCCATAAAAAACAAAACAAAAAAAACAAAATGAAAGCCCTTTATATGCACACAGATCACCTGCGGAGCTTGTTAAAAGGCAGATCATTCCAAAGGTGCTTTCCAGGTCCAAGGTGGCACCAAAACTGTTGGCCTGGGGATCACACTTTGAGTGGCAAAATTTAGAGTACACGATGTTTTTTACTGATTACTTTTTGGTTATTGTATTAGTTTGCTAGGGCTGCTGCAACAAGGTACCACAGGCTGGGTGGCTTTAAACAACGGAATTTTATTTTCTCACAATTCTAGAAACTAGAAGTTTGAGAGCTATGTGTCATTAGGACTGATTTCTTCTGAGATCTCTGCTTGGCTTGCAGATGGCTGTCTTCTCTGTCTTCATATGATCTTCCCTCTGTGTGTTTGGGATCTAATCTCCTCTTCTCCTAAGAACCTCAGCCACATTGAATTAGGGTCCACCCTCAAGGACCTCATTTAACCTTAATTACCTCTTTGAAACCCCTTCCTCCAAATACAGCTCCTCTCTGTGGTACTAGGGGTTAGGACTTCAACATATGAATTACGGGAGAACGAAACTCAATCCATAACAACTATTTTTTAAAGTTTAAAGAGGAAATAATGACATCTGAGCTGGAACTTTAAAATTGACTTGAATTTTGTTGCAGCCAAGAAGGATGAGGTTTATTTTTATTTTAAGGCACTGAGGAGACTGTGTGAGCTCAAGCTGCTCAACTCAAGGAGGGTATTCATTTTACAAATAGAATGGGCGGGAAGCAACAGAACCCAGCTCACAGGATACTGTATTGAGCACTTTGATTTTTTTCTTTTCAAAGAGTGCTTCGGAATCTCCAGAAATGCAAAATGCATCTCCTCCCCCATCCCACACACACTCTGGGAATTAAATTTCCCAACAGGAGAAACAGCTTCTGCTTATTAAAGAAAGAGTGTGATTGGCCTGCACAACCTCAGAGTCTGTCCTTCTTCATCTGTAGCACTAAACTGATCCTCTCTCCCTGGAGTGTTCCCTAGCAGCCTGCATTTTTCCAGTCAAAGACTGCAAGTGCTGGAACATCCCCACAACTGAAATCTATGTAAGCCACAGCACTGTTGTATCCAGGGAAGGGAACAAAAGGCATCTCCTGCCCGTGCTTTTCTCTCAGGCTGATAATAAATAATAATACATGGTATTGATGTAGCACCTTTCTCAAAGGAGCTCAAAGTGCTTTCCAGACATTACCTCACAACATCCTTGTGATTCTAACCTGAGAAGTGGCTCCTAAAAGTGCAGCTCTCCTCAATCACCACAAGAAATCTAGAAACCAGCAGGTAATATATATTCTTCTAAGGATAAAAGCAGGACTACTTAAATACCACTGAGGAGATTTTTATTTTTTTCAGAGTGCTTAGGTAATACAGGCAATAAGCATTTTTGACTGGATGATTACGTATACTTTGGACATCACACATACCAGTATGAGAGAGTAAAAAGATGAATGTGCTCTACAAGCCTGACTCCTACAGCCAGGCACTTTGAAAAACTAGCCAGTAGACTACATACTTCCTATTTAGCCTTTTAGACATTTAAAAGAGATCCTACAGAAATATCACATCCATCAGGCCCAGCAGCAATGATGAAAATAGAAGAATGTGTTAGCCACAAAATCACTGCTGCTGAACATTACCTGTGTCAACTCTTTCTTACCTTTGGGCTTTGGAAAATACATACTTTCATGCTTGGGTCATAAACCGTTCTCTCATCTTCTGATTTCAAGTCTCACTAAAGGTGAGGCTTTATTTATTTGAAGTTGAATACAATTTTGTCCAAGAGAACAGCAATCCCTCCTCCAGTCCAGTCATGGAAAAAAGCCTGAGAGGTGGAGTCACACAAACCCAGGTGGAAATCTCAGTTGTTCCTTAGAAATCATGTGACTTCAGACAGATCGTTTTACTCCTCTAAGTCTCTATTTCTCATCAATTAAATAGAAATAATAATGCCTACTTCAGGGAGGGCAGTAAGGGTATTAACTAAATCACATGTGTGGAGAACTCAGTGTCGTCCCTGGCATATTTTCATGTCTTTAACGAGCCTACACTAATCATACAGTAATAATCGCAATAACTGCTATTCCCCACCTTCTCCATAATATTAGAGATGTGTGAAGGAAAAGCAGAAGAATATTGTGAGAGAATCTGGGAGTCCTCAAACTCTGAACTTCAGATTCCCAGATCCCAAAATAAGGGGCATCGCTTGGGCCCACATCCCTCATAATGTCTGTATTAATCTATTCTAACACTGTGATAAAGAAATGCCTGAAACTGGGTAATTTATAAAGAAAATGGTTTAATTGGCTCATGGTTCCACAGGCTGTACAGGAAGCATGGCTGGGAGGTCTCAGGAAACTTACAATCAGGGTGGAAGGTGAAGGGGAAGCAGACATGTCTTACATGGCCAGCACAGGAGGAAGAGAGACAATGGGGAGGTGCTACACACTTTTTTTTTTTTTTTGAAATGCAGTCTCGCTCTGTCGCCAGGCTGGAGTGCAGTGGCTCCATCTCAGCTCACTGCAACCTCCGCCTCCCGGGTTCAAGCAATTCTCCTGCCTCAGCCTCTCTAGTAGCTGGGACTATAGGCACGCACCATCATACCCAGCTAATTTTTGTATTTTTAGTAGAGATGGGGTTAAACCATGTTGGCCAGGATGGTCTCGATCTCTCGACCTCATGATCCACCCACCTCAGCCTCCCAAAGTGCTGGGATTACAGGCGAGCCACCGTGCCCAGCCGCTACACACTTTTAAACCACCAGATCTCGCCATAACTCACTCACTATCATGAGAACGGTACAAAAAGGGAAATCCACATCCATGTTCCAATCACCTCCCACCAGACCCCACCTCCAACATTGGGAATTACAGTTTAACATGAGATTTGGGCAGGGGCACAGACCCAAACCATACCAATGGCAAAGAGAATTTTGTTTTGTTTTGTAACACGCTGCAAAAATATTCTCAACACTCTCCCACTGGAGTTTTATGCAAGGTAATGTAGTAACATACAGTTTAGAGAATTAGACGTGATAAGTGCCATTTAGGGCAAAATTTTATTCTGAAATAAAATTACAGAGAAAAATGACTAAACTTTCCATGTTAATTTAACATGAGAACCCCTTTTTAGCCACTGATTCTGATCAATTGAGAACTTGAGTTCCTGTTCAATCTGATAAGCTGAGCAAGGTATTTTTCTATTTCAGGGTCTTACTAGTTCTAAATAATGGAAAGTTGCCTGTATAATAATACATACATATCCAAGTTAGGAACTATTATTTTCTCTGTCTTGAAAACCCTTGATGCTATTTACGTTCTGAATTAAACTGAACACTGTATATTGATTTTAATATGTTAAAATGAAATTCAATTTCGTGACTACTGCTAACATCACAGAGCATGTAGGATCAATGTGTTTGCTGATTTTCTGCTTACTACCAATATCTCCCCAAGGGTTTGATACAAGATTTACAAGAATATTTCTGAAAATGTGTGCATAAGTACGCTATCAAATAAGCTACAATGCATTGCGTATTAGGCAGTGAATGATTTGTTTGCTGCATTTTAATCAGCCTTGTGTAAATGCTGACATATCCTTTGGAGAGTTCACTGCAGTCAGTCCACCTAGTGGAGCTCAATTCCTGTCCTTGGGAGCACAGCTGGCAGGAGAGGTCTCCCTGTGGTTGCTCTTAGAATCTACCCTTCCCAAAAAGAAGGAAGTGCATTTTAGCTAAGATAGAGCTATGAGTGCTGAGAAAGTGACTGCTGAGATGGCAGAAGGTACCAGAAAGCACAATCATGTGCCACAGAATGACATTTTGGTAAATGATGGACAACATATACAATGGTGGTCCCATAAGAGTATAATGGAACTTAAAAATTCCTATCACCTAATGATATCTCAGTGATCCTGACCTGTGCAGGCCCAGGCTAATGTGTGTGTTTATGTCTCCATTTTTAACAAAAATATTTAAATGTAAAAATAAATTTTAAAACATTTAAATTAGAACAAAGCTTACAGACTAAGGATATAGAGAAAGAAAATATTTTTGTACAACTGTACAATGTGTTTCAAGCTGTGTTGTTACAAAAGTGTCAAAAAGTTTTAAGAAATTAAAGTTTCTAAAGTTAAAAAAAGTTACAGTCAGCAAAGGTTTTAAACTTACTGTTGAAGAAAGAAAAATACTTTATTATAAATCTAGTGTGGCCTGTCTTCAGTGTTGATAAAGTCACAGTAGCATCCAGCAATGTCCTAGGACTTCACATTCACTCACCACTCACTCACTAAGTCACCCAGAGCAACTTCTAGTCCTGCAAGCTCCATTAATGTTAAGTGCCCTACACAGGTGTGCCATTTTTATCTTTCATATCGTATTTTTACTGTATCTTTTCTTTGTTTAGATATGTTTAGATACACAAAAACTTACCATTATACTACAATTGGCTACAGCACTTAGTATAATGACATGTTGTTCAGGTCTGCAGCTTAGCAGCAACAGGGCATACCATGTAGCCTAGGTCCGTAGCTTAGAAGCAATAGTCCAAACCATGTAGCCTAGGTATATGGTGGACTATACTATATTTCTAGGTTTGTATTAGTGTGCTCTATGTTGTTCACACAATGATGAAATTGTCTAACAAGGCATTTTTCAGAACATATCCCTGTTGTCAACTGACACATGACTGTATACGTGTGTATGCACTGATCTAACTCCATAAAGTCTTCCTTTGACAACAGAGGAGGCACTCTAATGCAGTTTGGGCTTGGAGTTGAATAGCACTGGGGGCCAGTTCAGGTTATGTCATTTATCAGCTGTTTGATGTTGGGCTAATTCCTTAACCTATCTGTGACTCAATATCTTCATCTGAATAATGGGAAGAATGAAAACAAGTACCTCGTAAAATTGTGAAGATTGAATGAGATAATACTCATTAAGCCCTCCTCCACAGTACTCGGCATTGAGGAAGAGCTCAATAAATGGTAGCTATTATTATTAGATAAAACTCATATCCCAGTCATTTAAACACAATTTTTATTGAATTCTCATTATGAGAAAGACACTGTATAGACACTTAGGGGAATGCAAATATTAATACAACACATTCCCCGTTTTGAGGGGTTTACATTCCAGTTGGGTAGATGGATACACAAATAACTACAATCAATAATAAAACATGATGAAGTGCCAAAGAGAGGTCTAATAAAACACTGTGGGAGTCAACAAAGTAAATAGATTACTGTCTGCCAGGAAGATCAGGGAAGCGTTCTTGAGAAAGAATTCCATTGGTTTTTGTATCTTGAAAAAGAACGGAATTTTAATGTGCAGAGAGTTAGCTGTGCAGAGGCATAAAGACAAGGAAGCAAAAATATGAGACAGAGATGTCCAGAAGCTCTGGTTGCTGGAAGGTGTATGTGGCAATTTAATGGAAAAGAAGTTTGGAAAATAGATTGGAGGAAGATAATATAAGAGCTGAAGGCCAAGCTCAAGGGTTTGGTCTTTCTTTGGTATGAAATGGGGAGTCTGGCTGCAGCACCTATGCCCTTGACCATTAGTCACAGGTTCTGCTGCTTCTCACACAGGTGAGAGTAGAGTGAGGGGGATCGGTGAGGCAGCCATCATCGGAGGGCAGCTGAGACCGAACAAGACCTGAAGTATAAAACGATCAAAGGGGAATCGTGGTACTGGGAGACAACCATGAGCACTATGAAAAGGGTGGTATTGACAGGACTGAGGAATTACTTTCATTTCACATGGCAAGAAAATGAGAAAGAGAACTCAAATGTAGCAGACCTTGTCTCTGGAAGGAAAACAATTCAGGGCATTCCTGGGCTAAGGCAGCACAGCACTGAGTGATCCAAGAGCACAAATGTCGTCTGACAGATCCTTGGGTGGCTTTGTTCAGTATCAGTTTATCCATCTAAAAAGTAAAGATCTGTAAGGTGATTTTAGATTAAATGAAATAGACAATGTTTTCAGGAAGTGGCTGGGACATAGGAGGCACTCAACTAACATTAATTTCCTTTCTTGCTGAAAAGGTCAGTGAGCGTAGAAGAGAGGAGGAGAAAGGATGGAGGCTGGAGGAAAAAGATGCTAGTACAGAGAGTTAATCTCTCCTCCTCTGACCAAAGTTGCTCTGTTTTTAGAAACTCCACAGGTGACTTGAAGGGAAGTGAGAGTTAAGAAGCAGAGACCGAGGTTGAAGTTGGCTCCAAGCACATCTCTGTCTCCGTCTGCAAGGCAAGGCCAGGCAGAAATGGAAAAAGAAAGGAAGATGGTTGAAGAGAAAGGGAAGTTTCTTTGACCCTATGATGGGGTGGACATTCTGCCAGGACTCAACACGAAGGCATGCTAAATAAGGGATATCCTTCTGTGCAAAGTTCCTTCACAAACCGCCAGTCAACATCTGGGAGATGTCTTTGGCCACATGCTAAAATGGGGATTTTGTGACTAATCTGGACTATAAAGTTAAAATGTGGAAAAGGACCAATAGATTTTAAACCCACTTGAGAGAGGTCATGGAGCCTCATTCCATAAGGCAGGGGGTAACAGGGATCTTTCCTTAATAGACTTTGCTGCTGAACCTGTTGGCCATTTTAGTGACTGGATTCAGAAAGCTGAAGCAGGCACCAGGAAAAAGGGTCACAGAACTGATGAGATTTAATCAGTTCTACAGCCAGATTCCCAGGGAAATGAGACAACTTGCAAAAGATCTGAACCTACAGACTATTCCTCAGACTGCTAAATTGACTATTCTCTGGAGATGAGACAACAAGAGACACCGTTGCTCGAAAACGGGAGATTATGAGCTTTCTGAAAAAGGCAAAGTAGGGAAAAAAATCCGTTAGGGAAAATTCTGAATAAAGCACATTACTTTACTGAACAAAAGGGCCTAACTGCAGATCATCTCACAAAGACACCTCAAAAACGTTGAACAAGGCTTCAGGAGGCATCTGAATGTCCTGGAGAGACTACACAGAAATTTTTTTAATGCCTAAAATAGTGGGCCTATAAAACAGCAGGAATGATTTGCAACAACCACTTTAGACACCTCCACTAGATGTACCCTTCATCCCCATCCCCAATCCCTGCCCATAAACATCCCTGGTTGCACCACATTCTAGGGACCACACATCTTTCTTCTTGACTGCTGCCTCCTGGTCAACCTGGATTATGTAGACAAGTTTTGGTCCTTAGATCTGAAACTCTTGTCTTCAGCTGATGACTTGGGCTCACCATCAAAGAATCAGTTCTCAAAGCATAGTCCATGGAACCCAGGCCCCTGAGATCCTTTCCTGAGACCCACAAGCTCTTTCGTTTTCCAACTATGTATCAATGTGAAGCAAGATTTTCTTTACACGCTTCAGTCAAAAGGACATCTTCCAAACCATGTGTGGTGGTGCACACCCACAGTGAGTCCCAGCTATTCAGGAAGCTGAGGCAGCAGGATCGCTTGAGCCCAGGAGTTCAACTCCAACCTGGGCAGCACAGCAAGACTTTATTTCAAAAAACAAACAAAAGGACATCTTGCAACACACTGAATGTAGACACAGATATGGAAATCCAACCATCATTTGTAAAGCTAGACACTTTTCAAAGACTGGCAAAAATGTAAAACAAGGCTGCTCTTTACAAATTCTTTTGGAAAATACAGTTACTTTTCAAAAAAAAATTTATGCTACCATGTAATGAATTAATTGTGTTATATTTAAGTGAATTAAAATATTTTTTAAATTCTCAGTTTTAACTGAAAATGTGGTTAATGTCAATAGAAATAACCCATCCAAACCATCCAAAAACCAAAACAAAACAAAAGCTCTTTTGGGTCCTCAATAATTCTTGAGAATGATAAGGGATCCTCAAAAAGTTTGAGATATTCTATCCTAGAAGGATGTCATCTGTTTTGTTTTCCATGTTGGCTAAGATTTCATCTTGGCTAAGAGATTAAGATTCTTCAGGCACTCATGTTACAAAAACTGACATTCGGGGTTTGTAGGGAGAGCCTCATATTGGTAATGGGGCTCCCAAAATTGACTCTCTTTTAGCAAATAAATACAATGCTACTCTCTATTTTCTTTAGGACTTTTACAAAGAAATTAAGGCTGGGTACCATGGCTCACATCTGTAATCCTAGCACTTTGGGAGGCTGAGGCAGGAGGATTGCTTGAGCCCAGGTGTTCCAGACCAGCCTGGACAACATAATGAAAAACCGTCTCTACAAAACATACATAAATTAGCCAGGCATGGTGTTGCACACCTGTAGTCCCAGCTATTTGGGAGGCTGACTGGGGAGGATCAATTAAGCCCAGGAGGTCAAGGCTGCAGTGAGCCATGATAACTGCAGCCTCTGTATTCTTGCTGGAGGGGGTTGGACCATGGAGGTGGGATTTCCCCCTTGCTGTTCTCATTATAGTGACTGAGTTCTCAAGAGATCTGGTTGTTTGAAAGTGTGTAGTACTTCCCCCTTTCTCTCTCTCTCTCTCTTTCTCTCCTCTGCCACCGTGTGAAGACATGCTTGCTTCCCATTCACCCTTCCACCATGATTGTAAGTTTCCTGAGGCCTCCCCAGCCATGCCACAGGTTGTGGAACTGTGAGTCAATTAAACCTCTTTTCTTTATTAATTACCCAATCTCAGATTGTTCTTTATAGCAGTGTAAGAATGGACTAATAGACTAATCTTGTCTGATCTAACTTATTTCAGAAGGTTAGTAGCTACAGTTCAAGTAACAACCAAGCTAACATTATTGCTTCTTAGAGCAGGTTTTCCCAAAGTGCCTATTATTAAGCTTCTACCCAGATCTTATGATGTAGAATTCTCCGTATAGAATTCCCAGTGTAAATCTATGAAACCTGATTGTTTTTTAAAGATGGAATCTCCCTCTGTCACCCAGGCTGAAGTGCAGTGGCAAGATCTCAGCTCACTACAACCTCCGCCTCCTGGGTTCGAGTGATTCTCCTGCCTCAGCCTCCCAAGTAGCTGGGATAACAGGTGCTCACCACCACGCTTGGCTAATTTTTGTATTTTTAGTAGAGACAGGGTTTCACCATGTTGGCCAGGCTCATCTTAAACTCCTGACCTCAAATGATCTGCCTGCCTTGGCCTCTCAAAGTGCTGGGACTACAGGTGTGAACCACTGTTCTCAGTCAGAAACCTGAATTTGTAATAAAGACCCCAAGTGGTATAATGTGCAGCTGAGTTTGGGAACTAAGAGTATTTTGCCTCAGTCAGAGCTCTCAAATTTACCCACCCTATCCCTCTCTTTTCTTCCTTACAAAAGCAGCAGCCTTATAAACTTTCACATTCTTACTTCCAGTTTTCCATTCTTACTTTCTCATTTAAGCTTCTGGAATATTTTTATATATTAGAGAGAGTTGTATTGCTGCAGTTTTTACTAATTTTCTATTGGATTCCTTTTCTCCCACTGAAAAACTATCTTTGCATTTTGTTTCTATAGGAGTCAGATCATTTTGTCGGAAAACAATAACAATTTAAGCAGTTAAATAATGAAATATCAGCAATAGGGTAAAGAGGGGTGTGGTCATCACTACAAAAAAAAAAAAAAAAAGGAAAGGAGATAGACAAAGTTGCAGCACTTCCAGAGCTGGCATAAGTGACAAAGCTGGATGGGAAGAGCTGGACCAATGAATACTCAACTCTAAATGCTTCCCAGGAAATTCCTGGTGGCTTGCCCTGAGATCTCCCATCCCTTTGGGGAGTAAAGGGGAGACAGACGTATGTTAGATGCATATGTGGACTGTTTCCAGAATAAACCCTGGCTGCCTTGGAGCCTGGGACTTGTAAGTGAAATTAGACTGAAGACAGTACTAGGTGTTTTTCTTTCATTCTTTTTGTTATGTTTTGTTTGTTTGTTTTTAATAGTAGGCAGGTCCTTATGAGAGAAATAGAGGAGAGCAAAGTAGAACAAGCATCCATAAATGTACCAGGGTAGACGAGTCATCTTCAAAAGCCTGGGTACAATGGTGGTAATAAAGGCCTTTGGTTTGTTTTAAATTATTTATACTTGGCTCATTTTTTAAGTAGGCATCTAATTTATAATAGAACCAGCGACTTGAGAAGGAGACCATCCATTCCTCTCTCCCTGTCAGCGTGGGGCTGTTTCCTGCAGAACATTTCAGAGTGCTTCATCTTGCAGACACTTGGTCTAAGCGTGTTCCACAGGAGCCTAAAGCAGGAGTGGTGCTTGATCAACGTGCAGAGGCGAAAGAGCAGTAGCAGTATTAAGAGTGCAAGTAGGCAGAATTCCAAAGAAGGGACTTCACCGCTCACTCTGAAAGACAACCTCACATTTGTATTGACTTGCTCTGGGAAAGTATTTCCTGAGACCCTTTCTAAAGTTCCCCCTTGCTCCCCCTTATGCTGTTACTAGTAGCTTGGGCTTTTGGCTGTCGTTGATGGAGAGGTGGGGATGCCTCATTTCTAAGTGCTCCTGGAAAGTGCTGACTTGGCAATCCTGGACACAGAGGGTTTTAAATATCCCCAGAAGAGGCAGAACCTATTCAATGGCAGCAGGAGTTTTCCACAAAGGCTTGCCAATAGACTTCCAGCTTGATTTGTAAAGCTTACTTTTTTACTTTTAGTTGTAGGGCCGGGAGAGGTGATTTGAATTGGAAGATGTGATAGTACAACTAGGTGAATCCAAATTAATTTCTCATGAACCAAAGAAAACCCAGAAATGATTATCTTGATTGCCTGATGCCTCATTTAGCTTCTCTTAACAACTCTCTGCTGACTGCTCCTAAACAGTCATGGGATTTTTGAAAATACCATCAGGTTAAGGCTTGATGTTTTTAACATCTTCAATTAGACCTAAAATGTATGAATGTGAATTGTGGACATGCCTTTAGTAAGAAGCCAAAAAATAATTTAAAGGGAAAAAAAATCCTCTAAAACCTACCCCTCCCTTCTCACCTCCCACATTCATGAGGGAGGACAGGGGAGAGCTAGCTACTGAAGACTGTCCATGGTTAATTACAAAAAAAAAATCTTTGAGACAAAGAAGAATTAAACATGATAGGAAATGCATCTAGTCATATTGAATTGCCTTGAAACTGCCTTCTAGAAAATTCTGATTCTTCAGTTTTATTCCAATCTCTCCACAACTTGAAACGAGCTTCTTGCTAGGAATAGTAGTATTACATTAAAAATATAAACAATTATTAGAAATATATAGTCTTAGAAACCATTAAATTTGTTCCTTAAGCAGGTTTATTACTTTTCTGCATACTTGCATGAAAATTTGTCTTCTACCAATTTGACATAAAATAGCCAGGATCAGATTTATTCATCTTATCAATACCATTATTTTGTACTGTCAGGTATTTAGAATATTATCTGGGTTGCAGGTATAGTTTTTCAAAAAGCTGACTTTCCCTTCCCCCATCAACCAACACACCAATGTTGAGCAATTATTTCATTGGTTGAAAAATAAGCTTAGTCTTATATCAAAGGCTCTGCTGCACCTGTAGTGATTTAGAATTCAAATGTGGCTAATTTATAAAACAACCACATTTCACTGTTCACAGCAGGAATCAGGGACTTAATACAAACTCCACTCAGAACACCATCTCTTTGCTTAGGCCTTTTGCCTTCAGAAACATCTCTAGCTACTACTAATAAACATTTCCTTTCTTTCAGCCCCTAAAAGCTCAGTCACAGGGGCACAGTATCACGGTGTTTGGATTTTGTGTTGGAGAACCACAGACCCGGTCAGAACACAGCCGCCTGCATTTTGGTTGGCTGAGAGGGCTCTTAGTGACTGACGAGTGGTGCAGCTTATGAGCACTCCAGATTTTCCGCCCACTAATTCTACAAGGGTAGCAAACCAGGCCCAGGAGACACTGATTGGAAAGCAAAACTAGAAGAGAGAAAGAGTGTGTGCAGTATAATCTGGTGTAGGACACAAGTCTCATGAGTGAAAGATGAGTTTTATAATTGGTTCTAAACAAAATGAGAGGCACAGTGCTTGTTCAAAGAAGGAAAGAAAGAGGAAGCTGGGAGATTTCTAAAATAGTTTTATTTTAACAGAGAGTCACAGTCAGAAAGGTTGAAAGGTGGGAAAAGGAAAGGGCTTGGCAGGAAAATATGGTGGAGGATAGGAAGGTGTGAGTGGGTGATTTAGCCATGTAAATCTCATGGCTCTAGGGCTTTGAGCAAGTCGAATTGTCCAGCCCTGTGGATGCTAGCCTAGAAAACAGGGACCTTAAAGAGTTCACAAGGAGCAAGAAAGGAAATCTGTGACAGTGGTTGACAAACTAAAAACACACTTTTAGTCATCCTCATTGTCATCATTGCTCTCTTACCCTTTCTCTTTTTGTAATTTTACCTCTTTTTCTTGGTTATTTCTTTTCAATTAGGGTGGGATTTTTTTTATGCAGAATTCTATGTCAGCCCTGGAAATTGTTTCTTTCTTTCCTCAATTAGTACACGAGTTAGTCTTTTCTTGATCAATCCATCACCCACCTGGGGCCAGACACATGACCTCTTGTATCTGAAACAGTTCAGAAACACAATTTCATGTTATTAAATTTACTAGGAAGAAATTGCTTTCCATATTTATATTCACCTCTATACACAAGTCTGGAACCTAGCACTTCTCTAAAGAAGAAAGAGGAAGAGAAAGAGGATGATGAGGATGAGAAGAAGCAAAAGTAGAAGCCAATATTTGTGAGACTTCATGATGAGTGTTAATGTCATTTGGATAAATGGGCTGATAGCTCATAAAGAGTGATCTATGCAAAAGTACCTGGGTTCAGATTGGGCTTTCAGCCTCAAAAGGCACAGGAACCAAGGTAGAGGTGTACAGAAATCTTGGTGAGGAGTGCACAGTCTCCTGCAGATGCCAATATCAGAATCATTCTGCTCCAACCACTTTTTGTCATGTATCACTCTGTTCAAAAATAAAATAAAATCCCCAAAAAGATAAAGTATGGCCAGTTTGGACCATGGACTTGCACCTTGGCTAAGGGGCAGGAATGGAAGATGAGGCACAAGGGCACTACAAGTTCCATCAGGACGACCAAGATGCAGTGAGGGTGGGTTTTGATTTCATGTTGAAGAACAACAGACCTGGTCAGAACACAGCCACCTGCATTTTTGTTGGCTGAGAGGGCTCTTAGTGGCTGACAAGTGAAGCAGCTTATGAGCACTCCGGATTTTCCACCCAGTAAATCTATATGAATAGCAAACCAGGCCCAGGAGACACTGATTGGAAAGCAACAGTAGAAGAGAGAAAGAGTGTGTGCAGTAAAATCTGGTGTGGGACACTTGTCTCATGTCCTACACATAAGAAAATATGGTGCTGTTATCAAGAGAAAGAAGAAGAAAAGAGAGAGAGAGACACAGAGAATTGAGACAGTAGATACTGAGCCACCAAAATTCACAAATCTCTACCACATGAAAGACCTCCACTTCTGAACTCAACTTGTTGTTCTCTTTTATTAAAAAACAAAACAGATTCATTTTATTGTCCAGTTAACTCCGGTCTAGATCTAACATATCTAAAATGCAGTGGGACCTTTATCTACCTTGTCCTGGCTTATGCCTAAGATTACACAAGCTTTTGTCAGCCACTTTTCATTACATGTTCATAGGAGTGCAAAGTCAGAGGAAACCCCTAAGACTTTCGTAGGATTGGTGTTTAAGTCAGGTCTTACTAGCATCCTGATATGTGTGCAGCTGATTTTTTTTAACTTAAATGTAGAAATGTACATTTATACCTATTAAGTTACATCATTAGTTTCTAACAGAACTAACAGAACCTTTTCAAAATCTTCATCCTGTCATTTAAGAATTTGGCCACTCCTACAAGCATGGAGTGATTCTATGTAGATTTATAAGCTTCTGTATAGAGTGGTGGTTTAGAGAGGGCTGGGAAGGCAAAGAGCCTTTACTTGCATCCACACTTCTGCCATTACTGGCTGTGCAAACTTCGACAAGCTTCTTAGTCCTGTATCTCAGTTTTTGCATCTATAAATTAAGGATAATACTCTCTCTCGTAGAGTCCTTTTTTTGAGAAGATGAGAGAAGTTTATTCATGTAAAAAGCTAATGGCATTTAATAATTGTTAGTTAATATATCATCTATGTGTATCAAAGTCAGTGATGAAAACATATACAATGGAATCCCTTTCTTCCGGGTGGAACACTATCTGCATATCACTGAAAATTATTGACATATCTCCTCTGCTTTGTAAACTCAAATCTAAAAACAGTATCAATATTTAGCCATCTTTTCCCATGTCTCTTTAATAGGATGTCGCTCTGTGTACCTTCTGCCATTGTCTCCAGGGCAACCTGAAAGGGCTGCTTATAGGCTCAAGTGGCTTGGATACAGTTAGAAGACTCTGCTTCCAGTCCTTGCCCTTCAACTCTTAGCTGAGTGGCCATAGGCCAGTTATTTAACCTCTATGCATCTCCTTTTTCTTTTCTGAAAAAAAAAAAAAAATAGAAAGGTTGGATCAGATTTGACTTCTTTTAAAGTCCAGGTTACTTTTTAAATCTGGCCTACAGCTCTTTCATGTTCAACTCGAGCCCATGGTAACCTAAAATTCCCGAGGCTGTGTATTCCTGAGCAATAGCCCTTTCTGGTCTTTGGGTTTTTGCCATTATGTGGTTCACCTGTATGTTCCGCTGGCCCTCATCTGGACATTGTGACTAACTGATTGTCATTGAGGAATTTGTACTCTCGCCACAGCACTTAGAGCAGTGGTGTTAGGGAACCAACCCTGCTTGTGAACCCCTTACATGGAAATCAGATTCCTAAACTCTGCTCCAGATTGGCTGAACCAGTATTTCTGAGGAGGGTCCTAGGAATGGGTAATTTAATAAACTCTCCAGGTGATTCTCACGCACATCAAAGTTGAAGAGCCATTAACCTGTTGGATGAATTCATTCTCTGCTTATGAAGAGGAAGCCTGCCAGATGTGTGTTGGGAATTGAACGTGGTCACTTTTCTTTTTATGTCTGCTTGCTTCCACAAAGCCACAGAAAGTTTATAATGCACAAATATCCATTCACTGCTCAGGTGCTTCATCTGTGATATTTTCTGCAGAGGCACTCAAACCAGAGTCTACTTTTATAAATTAGCACTGGAAAACATGTTCGAAAATAGTTAAGAGATGAACTTACCCATTAGGGATTTCCTAAGTCACTTCTGCATTAGAAGATAGATTATCTTTCTCCCTCTGGCTCCTGATAATACATTAGAGACCCCACAACTAAAGCAAGGCCATTTTCCCAAAACCTCAGGCAAAGTGCTCACGGGGCAATACACAACAGTAAGTCTTGGCTAGGCAAGGCGGCTCATGCCTGTAATCCCAGCACTTTAAGAGGATGAGGCGGGAGGAATGTTTGAGCCCAGGTGTTCAAGACCAGCCTGGCCAACATAGCAAGACTCCATCTCTACAAAAATAAATAAATAAATAAGCTGGGTGTGGTGACATATGCCTGTGGTCCCAGCTACTTGAGAGGCTGAGGTAGGAGCACCACTTGAGCCTAGGAATTTGAGACTGAAGTGAGCCATGATCGCACCACTGCACTCCAGTCTGAGTAACAGAGCAAGACCCCATCTAAATAAACAGCAGGTCTCCAACATACAGGACAAACACATCATCAAAAGCTATGAGTTTTAAAACTGGTCCTACTTACTCAAGCCTTTTTTCCTCCACTCTGATTATTATTATCCTCATTTCATAGTCCACACTTGCATATCATGAAGGGATGCTAAGTGTGCTAGTAAACAGCTTTCAAGTACTACAATAGCTAAGTACTACTGTTCTTTTGAGCCTGTTTTGCAGAGTGATGCCATACTTTCAAAGCTATCAAAATGACTTTTCCAGTGACACTGAATTCCGTTTAAAAATTAGCTTAGTAAAATTTTGTGAGCTTCTCCAAGGGTTAAGAGAGAAAAGAATATTTATATAGGTCACTTCTTTTTTATTTTTATTTTTTGAGTTGGGGGGGGTCTTCCTCTGTTGCCCAGGCTACAGTACAGTGGCACAGTAGCTTACTGCAGCCTCAAACACCGGGCTCCAAGTGATCCTCCCACTGTACCACCAGGCCTGGGTAATCTCTCTCTCTCTCTCTCTCTCTCTCTCTCTGTGTGTGTGTGTGTGTGTGTGTGTGTAAGAGGCTCCATGAGGAGCCAAAGATTCAAATATGTGTCATCCAGCTCTGCTTCTCTCTGGGCATTTCTCAGGCTGCCTTTCTTGGAGTTGCCTTTATGTGGCAAAGATGAAGACCAGCAGCTACCAATTTAGATTATCATTTCAATTCATAAACCCAGTGGAAAGCAAGTGCCAGTTTCCCGATAGTCCCAGCAAAATCCCAGGGTCATTAATTAGACTAAATTGGCATGAAGGTCATTCATCTTTAAGCCAACCCCTGTGGCCAAAGAGATAAGGTATTAACTCATATCCTATAGATTCACAGCTCAGTAAGGCATGTGTATGGCTGGCTGGCAGCTCCCAAGAGAAAAAGGTGCTGTGCAGACAAAAACTAAGGAGTACTCACTACCCACAGCCACAAGATGAGATAATGGCCATCAACAATGCAGCTAGAGTCCTTGGCTCCTAGTCTAGTGTTTCCTTCCATAAAGTTAGTTTTTGGTTTGCTTTCTTTTGCTTTAATTTGAGAGTCCATTTGATTACTGTTTCTTTTTGGCAAAATTTAGGGATGGGAGCGGGGATAAATCTTAAATAATGTTATCTTGTACCTGGCAATATTTCTTATTTTTATTTCAAAAGAGTACATCCGCATCTCTCTCTGAGCCCTGAATAAATATATGCTTTTTTGTAGATGGAATTCCTCATTGGAGAGATGTTCAAGAGATTCTTAATGTCTATTTTTCCAGTTTCCAACATATGGTCCAACATGTGGCCAAAGAAAGGCTGAGGGTGTCTGGTTCCCCCACTCTGGCCAGCTGCCCAAAGTAAGGGGTGGAGACACTGATATATGTCCCAAGTGACCCAAACCTTGAGAACCTTTTAACTCTTCTTCCAACAGCCTCATACAAAAGAGTCCACATTTACCCTAAATGGCCCATTTGAAAAGGGCCACCTCCGTGATCCTGCTGGTTTCCCTGAGGCTGGCACACAATCTACTCTCTAAGAGTAAAAGGGAATAAGTGCACTCCATCAGCCTTCTTCCCTTTTCTATCAAATGTAAGTGGTGTTATAATATTGATATGATCAAGACTAATGAGCCATTAATTCTAATCCAAAAAAAATGAGGTAACTGAACATGATCTTTTACAGTGCATTGATCTGATATGCCAGATGAAGGGAAGGTTACATTTCCTCTTGGAAATATGCCTGTTCTTCACAAGCAATTTTAAAATGTTCCCCATATGGATGTGCTCTTCTGTGTGCCAAAAATAAATCTAATAGAAGGAGACAAATATAATGTCTAAGGAGAAAATATGTCCACCTTTTAACATTTCTTCCTTCTTCTCCTTCCAAGGCTCAGGTCTGGTGGCAAGTTACTTTGTGGGTCACCAAAGTGTGCTTGGGGGAGGCACTAATCTCTTAATAAATGCAAGTATATGCAAAGGTCAGAAAATGTGGACATATGTTATCTCTTCCCTCATACATGCAATAGTGAACATAGAGAGAATTGAATTTTAATTAATGGTCATAAGTACCATTTTGGGGGCAAATGTTGCATGTGTGTCATTTAGGGTGGAGCTGACCATAAAGACATTTTATTCATTTTTATTTATGTTTAAGAGGAAATTTACTCTACCAACTTGAGGCCAGAAAAGAGACTTGGGAATACTTTCAGATTACTGAAGTTCAATTTTAAGATTTGGGGCACATTTTCCATAAAACAGTTTGTTCTTTCTTTGAAGGAACTAGTCAGCAATACATATTGTTATTCTAAAACAATTCTATATTCTTAGAAACAAACAAGAAACAAAATATAGGGCATCATTTTGGAGATACTGGTTCTAGTGACTAAGACAAGTAGATTGCTGAATTCTAATCTCATAAAAACTAGTTTAAGTGACAGTTGCATTCTGTGGTTTAGGGCATTTTGATGAAACTACTTTTGCACATATTTAAATAACAACTTGAATAGATAAACACTAAACTATGTCTGCCAAAAATTCCTATGTTGAAGTCTTAACTCCCAGTACCTCAGAATGTGACTCTTTGGAGACAGGGACTTTAAAGAGGTAATTGAGATAAAATGAGGTCATTATGGTAGGCCCTAATACAATATGGCTCTAATACTAATGCTCTTGTGAAAAGAACATTAGTCATATTTTATGACTAATTCAGATACAGATTAAGACACAGACATGCTCAGAGGGAAGACCATGAGACAACACAGAGAAGGCAGCCATCTACAAACCAAGGAGAGAATGCTCAGAAAAAAACAACCCTACTGACACCTTAATTTTGGACTTCTAACCTGCAGATCTATGAGAAAATATATTTCTGTTATGTAAACCATCTAGTCTGTGATAGTTTGTTGTGGCATTAACATGTATACCTACAGAACACCCTTTAATAGGGCCCTCAATTATTTAGTGATTATTTTCAGCAAATAGGCATAATATTTTAAAAGAACCAAAAATTAATTATACCAAGAATACAGTGATCAGAATTATCTCTCAGAAAGAAAGAATCCAGTCTTCAAACACTAAGTCTACTTTTGGGAGCAAAAAGTCAGTTAAACAATCCAATGGAAATGAATCATGCATGAATGTTTGAAAGCGGATTTTAGAGAACCAAAACATATCAGTAATTTGGATATGTATCATAAACAAATGTTGGAGAAATCTAATTAAAAGCAAAATCTCCCAGTTCATAAATCCTCTCCATGAAAATAGTACAGAAAGAAAACAGTTTTATTATTGAATATGCATTAAAGCAGATTGTGACGTGCATCACAGGCAATCCACTAAGAGACTGCAAAGACAGAACAAAATGTCACCTTCTATACAGCCAAGCAGACAAAAAACCATTGCATGCATGTTGTCAAGATAAACAATAACTAGTCCTCAAGTAACAGAACTTGACAGCACCATTTGTCACACATAACTTGTTCTAACTTTACCTGATAATTAAAGTGGCCATCTGGGTTAGCTAATTGACTTCATCCAGAGAAAAAAGGAACTTCTCATATCTTTATGACAGAAGGTAGTTTTGTAACTTGGAGTAAGATGCCCCATTCACCTCCAAGTTAGGATTCTACCCTTCCACAGAAATGGGTAGGGGTGCTATCTCCCTTGATGTTTACATTTTAAAGAGACGGCTCCCAGGTCCATGAGAAAGACATTCTCAGGTCAAAAAGCTGACAATATACCAATATAGTCTTCAAAATGATTTATACACATTTCAAACAGAGGAGAAAGTATGTACAGTTACAAGTTTTCTAAAGTAAATGCTCAAAGAAAATAGAAAAGAGGGAAATCTTTTCTCTTATTTTTCAACGGGAGAATTAAGCCTCTTATTTTTAATTTGAATTTGTCCTTACATTATCATTTTACAGTTAAAACAGAAATAACTCATGTGTTCGCTGGCTCCGAGAAAGCACAATTTTTAGTGCATTGAAGTATTCGAGCCCGTAATTTAAAAATTCTGCGCGGGTGTGACTACCATCTTCCAAGCCTAATAAAACTTGGACTTGGGGACTCCATAATTGAAAGGGCCAAGAAAGCAACTTCATAACCAAAGAAGACATGTTACAGCAGAACTCTCTTTACTCCTAGATTCCACTAATTCAAAAATGTTCTAATAACAACGTAGTAGAAGAGATGTCCTGGCTCCACTGAACACTGTTGAATACAAGTTATAGGAAAACATTGTTTTGAACTAAACTCCTGCACTAGGCCCCAATAGAACAGATTAAAAGTCAAAATGGAGTCACCCATGCCAAAGTTCTACATCATGAAACCTAAATTAAATTTTGTCTGACCTTCAGAAAAATCAGGAGAGAGAGGTAACAGCCAATTTCCCAAACAGATCAGTTTCAATCTTCAATGGACATGATAATGAAGTTTCCTCTCTTTTAATGCTTAACCTGAAGTAATCTGACATTAACCAATCAGTTATTTTTCTATTATCCTGTCTCCCTATCCCCACCTTACAAGGAAAGTAACTTTGAAATGACCGATCCATTTTTTGTTGTTTATTTCTGCTTTCTTCAGGCCTTCTTTGTCTATAAAGCCAATCTCTTCTGGTCAACACATTGGAACACTTACTCTATTTCATAGAATAGAATTCTAGAATCACAATAAAGTCAATGGAGATCTTTAATCAATTTGTTGTAATTTTGTCCTCTGACATTGTATATATATCTTATTCCATTTAGGTGATTCCTCCAAATACTTAGATGGGTCCCAATCACTTATGACCATTTTTTTTATCCTGATGTTAATTATTCATGCTGTTTCAGGAATTAGTGAATACTGTCATCTGATACTAAAGCCACAGACTAGTTCAAGAAAAGTGGATGAAATACAAACAAATCAGCCAAGAGGAAAGGAGAGGCTCACAAGCCAGAGACTCCAGAATCTTCCTAGATACGTCCTAGAAAGCAAGATATGAAGACACACTCCTCATCTGTTCTCTGTGCCTTCCCCATGACCTGGTACTCTCTTGGCAATCTCATCTAGTCTCATAGCTTTAAACACCAACCATGTGCCATCAATTGCCCAAATGCACATCCCTAGGACAGATCTCTCCCCAAACTCCAGAATTCTATATCCAGTGACTTACTGGATACCTCCACTTGGACACTTCATCCTTCACATGCCCAAAACTGAACTCTTAATCATCCCCCCAAACTGTTCCACTTTTAGCCTTTACAATCTCAGTCAATAGTAATATTCAACTTCTAATTGTTTAAGCCAGAAACTTTAGAATACTTTTTGACTCCTATCTCTCTTTTACATGAAGATATTATTCAAGCATGTCCAGACTCTGACCACATCTTAACACAGTTACCATAAAATCCAAGCCACCTCTCCTTCTCCTGAGCTATTTCAGTAATTTCCTAAACAACAAATGTTATGTCCTGGCTATCCTTGGCCCTCTGTCAATGAAAAGAGTCAAACACTGTAAAATATTTAAGGAGGTTTATTCTGAGCCTAATGTGAGTGACCAAGGCCCATGACGTAGCCCCAGGAAGTCCTGAGAACATGTGCCCAAGGTTATTGGGTTGCAACTTGATTTTATACATTTTAGGGGGACAGAAGCTACAGGCAGACATCAATCAATACCTCAAAGGTACACATGAGTTCAATCCAGAAAAGTGGAATAACTTCAAGTGGAGGAGGGTGGTGTTGTGGTTCCAGGAAATAGGTGGATTCAAAGTTTTCTGATTGGCAATTGGTTGAAAGAGTTATTATCTAAAGACCTGGAACCAATAGAAAGGAGTGTCTGGGTTAAGATAAGAGATTGTGGAACCAAGGTTTTTATTATGTAGATAAATCCTCCAGATAGCAGGCTTCAGAGAGAATAAATGGTAAAGGTGCCAGACTCTTAGTTAATTCTCTCCTGGGTTAGTAAAAGACCTGGAAGATGAAGGGGATTCTCTGCAGAATGTAGATTTTCCCTACAAGAGACAGCTTTGCAGGGTCATTCTCAAGAAAAGTATTTTGGGGTAAAATACTTTTATTTTTTTCAGGGTCTGCTATCTGTCATGTGATGTTATACTAGTCAGGTTGGATTTTGGTATCTTATTGCTGTTTTGTCAATCTTAAGATCTCTGTTTTAATGTTAATGCTGGGCAGTTGGCCTGAATTCCAGAGGGAGAAGGGTATAATGAGGCTTCTCTAACCCCTGCTTCCCATCATGGTCAGAACTAGCTTTTCAGGTTTACTTTGGAATGTCCTTGGGGAGGACATTCAGAAGGGATCCATTCAGTCAGCTGAGGGGTTTAGAATTTTATTTTTGATTTACACCTCTACAGCCTATTCTCAACACAAGAGACAGATGATCCTCTCGATGTACAACTACTCTCAAAACAAAACACTTCTCCACTAAACCCTATTCTTTATTTCACACTAAAGAAGAGCCAAAATCATCAGGTCTCCAATAATGGGTCCTTTTCCTTTTCTCTTGCTACTCTCCCCTCTGTTTGCTGCAGCCACACTGTCCTTTTGCTGTGCACATGCTAAGTTCCTTACTGCCACAGAGCCCTTGCACTTGCTGTTCTAAGTACCTAGAAGAGTACCCCTAGGTCTTCACATGGCTTGTTTCTTTCTCCCCTCAGGTTTCAGCTCACAAGGCATCTCTAAGTGAGAACTTCCCTGACCACTCTGTCTACATTAGTCTCCTATTTTTCCTTTATCACATAGTCTTATTTTATTTCCTTTAGGGCACATTCTTAATAGTTTACTTGGTGATTGCCATCTTCCCCATTTTACCACACCTCAACTAGAATAGAATCTCTATGAGATCAGAGATTTTGCCTGTGTTTTTCAGACTGTACCTAGCTCATTATAGGTCCTCAGGAAATACTTAATGAACTGCTTGATGATTCCCTATTGTGAGACTAACTTGAAACACTTGTCCATACAGCATAGCTAGTCTGGGGCATCAAAATAAAAAAATAAAAATGAAAATAAACCTGGTCATTTAATTGTAAGTGCAAGGTGTTATAGTTGATTTAAAATTTTATTGAATTTGCCATTTCTTTTTATCTAATTGTCAAATTTGTGAAAATTCCCAAGAAGTACATCAGTTGTCAATAGATATTCCTAGGAATAAATATTTCACAATCTTGCCTTGGATCTCAGTCATAAATGAGATATGGCCAGGCACATAGGTATCAGCTTTACTGCCCAGCTTGCCAGAAAGCAGGAGGCCTCAGCAGCAGTGAATCTATGGCTGATCCCACAAGGAGACTGAAGCAGGTCACCTATCTACTTTGTGTTTCAGGTTTCCCGCTGGAGAAGTTCAAATTAAAGCAGCTGCCCCTGTTGTGTACCTAAATAGTTTAAACAATTCAATTAATAAAGATAATTTAAAGGAAATTATTATTACTCTTATTTTCAATATGTTCTTGTTACCACCAGGATATAAATCTCTTGAAGGCAAAGACCATTCATCATTCAGATGCTATGTTTTCATGGAACACATTGTAGAGTCTCCAGTTATACTGATATATTTGATTGGACTCTGGAAGTGGGCTGATAATTTACTGACAACACACTGTTTTTAAGGCAGGTGACATATTTTTCATTACAAAGTCTTTACCGAGATCTATGAAAAGCAGTGGAGGCCGGGGGCAGTGGCTCACGCCTGTAATCCCAGCACTTTGGGAGGCCAAGGCAGGTGGATCACCCAAGGTCAGGAGTTTGAGACTAGCCTGGCCAACATGGCAAAACCCTGTCTCTAGTAAACATACAAAAGTTAGCTGGACGTGGTGGCAGGTGCCTGTAATCCCAGCTACTCAGGAGGCTGAGGCAGGAGAATTGCCTGAACCCAGGAGGCGGAGGCAGCAGTGAGCCAAGATTGCACCACTGCACTCCAGCCTGGGTGACAAGAAAAATAGAAAAGAAAAGAAAAGAAAGGCAGTGGAATAATCCCTCTCCTTGAGACAGAGTCTAATGCATGACAGCTAAATAGGAATGAAGGAATGATAGCAATACGAAAATCATCCCCAGCTGCCACCCCCTAACCCCACCCCCACCCCTACCACCAAAAAGATATTTCAGGCCAGGCATGGTGACTCACACCTGTAATCCCAGCACTTTGGGAGGCCAAGGCAAGTGTATCGTTTGAGCCTAGGAGTTCAAGACCAGCCTGGGCAACATGGCGAAACTCCACCTCTACTAAAAATTTAAAAATTAGCCAGGCATGATGTCACACACCTGTGGTCCCACCTATTTGGGAGGCTGAGGCAGAAGAATCACTTGGGCCTTGGGAGATCAAGTGTGAAGTGAGCCGAGATTGTGCCATCATGCCACTGTACTCTAGCCCAGGCAAAAGAGTGAGAACCTGTCTCAAAAACAAAACAAAACATAAAAGATATTTCAGTAAGTTCTAATTTATGTATTTTAGAATTTATACGTGGGGAGCTAGGGAGCTAGAATAAAGGATGCTATCTCAGCTGTACTTGTTATGATGGCTATAATCAGGAATTTAAGTCATACTTCTTGGTAAGGAGAAATTTACAGTATGTGATATACAGACAGTGAAAAAGCCATGTTCTACCACTTACTACCTATGTGCCCTGGGCTGAATTATTTAATATCTCTAATCCTTGAGATTCTCATTATTCAAATGGGAATAATGACATTATGCCTATTAAAAACTGAATGCTTGTGTCCCCCTAAATTTCATATGTCAACATTTCATATGTGATGCTATTTGAAGGTAGGACTTTTGGGAGGAAAGTAGGTTATGAAGGTAGAGCCCTTATGATGGGATTAGTGCCCTTATAAGAAGAAAGGGAGAGCGTCATCTCTCTCCATTAACAACCATGTGAGAACACAGCAAGAATATGGTCGTCTGCAAGCCAGGAAGAGAGCCCTCACTGGGAATCAAATCTTCTGGCACCTTGATCTTGGACTTCCCAGCCTCCAGAACTGTGAGAAATCAATTTCTGTTGTTTAAGCCACCCAGACTATGGTAACGTGTTAGAGCAGCCCAAAGTGACTAAGACAATACCTGATGCTGTCACTGAACAGAGTAAGGGCTCCAGAGACACGAGGTGCATTACAGGTGAGAGGGAAAGAGAGCTCAAACAGGTGATAACAAGCAGGTATGCCAAGCTGGATTAGAGTGACCTGGGAAGCAGGGAAATTAAATTAAGGAGTTAGAGGGTGGTTTTACACCCCAAGATGGAGAGTTTATTTTGATCCAATTGAAAGCTAATGTAGGATCTCAAGAGAGTCACAATATCAAAGTAATACCTTGAGAAGCTAGTACCTTGCCCACAGAAGAGCTGGAGTAATAGAAGCTGGAGGGAAAGGGATTGATTTGGTGTAGGGAAAGTCTGGGTTCACCAATGATGATGGTGATAACAATCCAAGACTAATGCATTTCTATTACAGACTATTTCTATCACAGTGCTTAGAGCAGTCAACCTGAGTCAGTCCCAGGAAGATCTGGGGCAGGCTTTTATTCAGGTGCTCAAGTCTGGGTGCTTATGAGGTACCATTTGTCCTCTCAGTTTTTAGTGACTTTTCTTTTACAATAGAAAAACATCACATTTAACAATCAAAATAACGTCACTTACGAACAGAAAAACTTACTTAAAACACACACACACACACACACACATACACACACACACAAAGAGATTTTTCCATCAACTAACCCATTTCAGCCAGCTCCTGGGTAAGGCTGAGAATAGGTACAAACCCACTGGAGTCTCCCTCAGCCCTTGTATTCACCACATTTCAAGCCAATAGTTTTCTCATAAGACAAATTTCTTATTCAAAGTGAATAAGATTTACTCTGAAATCTTGGCAAAGCCTCAATAAGCCTCAGCCCTATTCTATATAAGATAGCATCTCCTCACACGGTCCTTCATGGGTATAGACTTTTTAAAAATATATATTAGAGCCTACTTTTTCAGAGTCTGGCCAAAAAAAAAAAAAAAAACCTTTCTTGGTTTGGAGTTCTCCTGTATAGATCTCACTTTTCTTGAGTTGAAGGGACCCAGAAAACACCAAAATAATAATCACTTTCTATCAACTGCTTATTATAAGCCAAACAACTATATTAAATTCTTAACATGCATTATTTTTCAAAGCTTCACATACACAAAAATACAAACAAACAAGAATGACAACAAAAACTGTGAGTTATTGTTCACATGCCATAGCTGAGTAAGCTCATCTTAGAACAGTGGTTCACAATTTTGGCTGCACGTCAGAGTTACATTAAAAGATCCTTACAAATAGCTCCATGTCCAAGTGGTGCCTCAGACCACTGAAATTAGAATTTTTAGGGGTGTGACCCAGGCATCAGGCATCAATAATTTTTAAAGCTATGCAGATGACTCCAAAGTGCAGTCAAAGTTTGAGCACCACTTCCTTAATATCTCACCCAGAGTCACTCAGGTTGAAAGTGGCAGAGGACAGTCTTTGTATTCCAGTGTCCAAGATCCTTACAACTGCATATGGCCATGGTTCTCAAAACTCTGGCAGCACAACTAGAATCATCTGGGGAGACTTTTTAAGAATATTAACACAAAGCCCCACCACCAAAACTTCTGAGTCCAATGGTATAATTTGGAGATCACCCATGAGCAGGTATTTTTTAAAATCTTCCTGCGCTATCTTAATATGTATCCAGGTTGGAGAATCATTGCTTCCTATTGTTCTTATAATATTTATTTTTATGCATACCTTGAAGCCGTTCTTAAACCAATCTATATTTCTACATTCTTTCTCACTGATCTTTTCTTGCCTTAAGGGAAATATAAGTAGCGTTCGTGACCTCCATCTGCTAATTAATATGATCAATGACTTTAATAATGGGTATATATTGAATATATCCCATATAATACATATGCTCAAAGATTAGAAAGTGCCTCAAAATCTAGATGCATATAAATATTTTACCAGTGATTTTTCCAACAATATACAAGTCTGAAAAAGGAAGAAAGAAATGTCCTAGAACAGGCTTACATAATTTCTAGAGATGAGTGGGGAGATGGCCACCATTAATGAGAACTCCAAAAGCAGAAAATTAAAGAAAAGGCAAATATCACATATCTAGAGGGTCTCATATAAGGAGGTTATTAAGGAAGTTTTGTAAATGTAAAGCATAACAGAAAGGAATCCTAACAAGGGAACAAGATGTTCAAATGGGAAAATAGGAAGAAGCTTACAGGTGCTAAACGGCTGAAAATACTGTTTTTTAAAAAATAATTATTTTATTGTTATTTTTTAGCCTTATTTATACTTTTGTTTTGTTTTGGGGATGGAGGCTAGTGGTCTTATTGAGGTATAATTGACATTTAACAGAGTACACATATTTAAAATTTATAATTTGATATTTAGAGATAGCTATATGCCCATGAAACAATAATCAAAATCAAGTCAGTTACCCCCAGAAGATTCCCTGTGCCTGGTTATAATTCTGCCTCCACTAGCAAGCAGGCACTGATCTGATTTCTGTTATGATAAATTAGTGCAATTTCCAAATTTTTAAAAAAGTGGAATCACACAGTATGCATGAACAGTATGGAATTATGTAATATATACTGTTTTTATTGTTCGACTTCTTTCACTTAGCATATTTATTTTGAGGTTCATCCATTTTGCTGCATGTTTATTCCTATTCTTTGCTGAGTAATAGTCCATTGTATAGATATACCTCAAATTGTTTATTCATTCATCTGTTGAGGGATATTTGGATTGTTACCAAGCTTTTGCTATTCCAAATAAAACTTTGACTATAAGTCTATCAGATTTATCCCTAGGTATTTCATATTTTGAAGCTTATTGTAAATGAGACTCTAACCCAATTTCTATCGTTCTTGCTAGTATTTAGAAATATAGTTGGATATTTACAACTTGATTATGTATGCAGAAACATTGCTATTAGCTCTAGTAGCTTTATTTTAGATTTCATTGGATTTTTTACATAGACAATTATATCATTTGTGAATAAAGACAGTTCTCCTTTTTCCATTACAATATGAAATTGAATTCTTTTTCTTGTCTTACTCTACTGGGACTCTAGAGGCTCCCAGTTTACTACAGGGAGTAAGAACAGACGTCCTTGCCTTGTTCCCAATCCTTAGGGGGAAAGCACTCAGTATCCATGAAGTATGGTGGTAGTTTTAGATATTTTTGTGGGTTCCCTTGTCAGATTGAGGAATTTTTCTTCTTGTGTTCTTAGTTCACTGAGAGTTGTTTTTTTGTTGTTTTCCTGAGACAGGGTCTCACTCTGTCACCCTATATCCTGAGTGACAGAGTGAGACCCTGTCTCAGGAAAACAACAACAGCAACAATCACAGCTCAGTATAGCTTAACCTACTGGGCTCAAAAGATCCTCCCACCTCAGCCTCCCAAGTAGCTGGGACCACAGGTGTGTGCCATCATGCCTGGCTAATTTGTATATTTTTTATAGAGATTGGGTCTTGCTGTGTTGCCTAGGCTAGTCTTGAACTACTGGCTCAAGTGATCCTCCCACTTTGGCCTCTCAAAGTGCTGGGATTACAAGTGTGAAACAAGACGCCTGGCTCACTGAGAGTTTTTTAAATCAAAAGTAGATAATAGATTTTTAAGTGTTTTCCTGTCATCATAGAGATGATTATATGTTGCTGTTTTTAATTTGTTAATGCAAAGAATTGCATTGCTTGGTTTTCAGAAGTTAAATTGACTCTACACTCCTGGAATAAACCCCATTTGGTCATAATATATTATTCTTTATATATATTATAAGATTAAATTTGCTAATATTTGGCCCATAATCTTAGCATCTCTGTTCATCAGAAATATCAGTTTGTCGTTTTCTTTTCATGTAATGTCTTTGGCTGGTTTTGGAATCAAGATTATATTGTCTCTAGAGAATTAGTTTGAAAATATGCCCTCTCTTTAGTTTTTTTGGGAAATTTTGTGTAGAATTTGTATTATTTCCACATCAAATGTTTGGTAGAATTTACCAATGAGATCATCCACACCTGAAGTTTACTTTGTAGGAAGGTTTGTAACTACAAATTCAATTTCTTTAATAGATATAGGGCAATTTAGGTTATCTATTTATTTATGAGTAAGGTTTGGTAGTTGGTATCTTTAAATAATAAGCTTATTGTATCTAAGTTGTAGAAATGTATTAAAATAAAATTGCTCTAAATGTTCTTTTATTATCTTCTGAATATCTGTAGCATCTACAGTAATGTCACCCTTATCATTTCTGCTTTGGCTGTTGCTTTTCTTTCCTATTATTTTTCCCTAATCAGTTTGGCTACAGTTTCATCAATTTTATCAATCTTTTTAAGATACAGATTTTAGTTTCTTTGGTTTTCTCAATTGTCTTTTTATGTTTTCTAATTCACTGAGTGCCGCTTTATTAACTAGCTATGTGGCCAATGTTAGTCATTTCATCCTGAGGTTTAGCTCCTACTTCACCGAACTGGTGTGAGGACTATATTGGATAATGCAGGTAAAAAGCACTCCCACAAGAGCATTTTCAGCTCTCTTCTTTTTATTGCCAATTCATCTGGTATCAATTTTCTTGTGCGCAAAGGACCTCCTCTAATATTTCTTGTAGTAGAAGTCTCTTGGTGATTATTTCTTTCAATGTTTGTATGTCTGAAAAAGCCTTTTTTACTTTCTTTTCTGAAAGTTATTTTCACTGGGTATAGAATTCTAAGTTGATTTTTTTTCCAGCACTGCCTTCACTGTCTTTTTATTTGCATTATTTCTCAAGAGAATCCTGCTGTTATTTTTATTTTTATTCTTATTCCTCTATATGCATCATAACTGTTTTTTTCCTATTCTGTCCTGTGTTTTGAGCACTTCAGTCATGATGTATCTCATGTTTCTCATGCTTGTGATTTGTTGAGCTTGTTGGATTTGTGGGTTTACAGTTTTATCAAATGAAAATAATGGCCAGTATTTCTTCAAATATTTCTTCCACTCCACTCCTTTCTTTGGGGAATTGCAGTTGCATCCACATTAGGCCACTTGAAGTTGTCTCCAGATCCTTGATACTCATCTCATTTTTAAAAATTTATTTTTTATTTGGATTTTCTTTTTCTATAATTTCTTACTTTATGGTCTCACAATCTCACTAATCTTTGCTTTTGAAATGTATAAGCTGCCATTAATTCAATTCAGTGTGTTTTTTAAAATCTCATACATTGTAGTTTTCTTTTCCAAAAGTTCAGTTTGAACCATTTCTCATATTTTCATGTCCCTACTCAACTATCTGAATACATGAAATATAGTTATAAAAACTGTTTTAATGCCTTGTCTGTTATTCTAATAATTCTGTGAATTCTGTGTTCATTTTGGTTTATGTATTTTTCTTTTCATTAATGGTCATATTTTCCTGCTTCTTTACATGCCTGGTGATCTTCAATTCGATGCCAGACATTATAAATTTTACCTAGTTAAAAGCTGGATATTTTGTATTCCTATAAATATTAAATACGCTTGAGCTTTGTTCTGGAATATAGTTAAGTCATCTGGAAACAGTCTGATCTTTTCAGGTCTAGCTTTAATATTTGTTAGTTGGGATCAGAGCTTTGTTTAGAATGGGGCTAATTATTCCTGACTCTGAGGTAAATCCCTTCTGAGTTATCTACCTAATGCCCCATGAATTGTAATATTTTCCAATCTGGCTGAGGGGAACAGGCAATAGCCCTAGCCCTGTGTGGATTTGAGGCATTCTTCTCTTTAATCCTTTCAGATGGCCTTTTCCTCAACTTATGAGTAGCTTCCTTGCATTTATGTAATGATCAGTGAAATACTCAAGGAAGACCCTCTGTAAATCTCTGGGGTTCTTTCTCAAGTACTCTGTCCTGTGAACTCCAGTTGCCTTGATTTCCCCAGACCTATAGCTCTATCTCCTCAGTTCAGGGATTTTGCCAGTTACAGCCTGGGTCTTTTTTTTTTTTTCTGAGCCACAGCCTGGAAACTCTCTCCATGCAGTTAGTTAGAGCAATCAAAGTGTTCATTTGTTCCCTTTCTCTCAGGCATTGCTGTCTTTTGTTGCTTCAAATATTTTGTCTGGTTTATTTGGTTTCAGATGGAAAAGTAAATCTAATCCCTGTTACTCTATATTGGCTGGAAGCAGAAGTACTTTTTGGTTATTTAAAATTTCCTAATTATAGATGTTTCATACAATCATGGAACTAGAATTGCACCAAGGAGATGACAAGTATGAAATGCCCAAATAAGAGCAGAATTTCTCTTGTGGTATATGACACATACAGTGAACACACAGTAGATTTAGTCTACTCAGCTGGATTATAAATACCATAATGACAAGGATTTTGTCTTATGTTTTTCATGTATCTTTCCATTGTCCCTAGCCTGTATCCTGCAGAATCAGGACAAATGGTGGTAATTACTAATTTGCATTCTCCTTTCACAGCTTGTCTGTTTATCTTGCCTTAGCTGAGACAATGTACCATCACAAATGCTCACTAATATGCCTTACTACATAGATCTTGCAGGAACTTCTTCTTTAGCATTTTTAATAGGCAAAAATAAATTTTCAAAAGATCCCAATTCTGACTCCTAACCTATAGAAAAGGAGAGGGGCCATCTCACATGCTTTTAATAAATTTCTCATCAACAGTCTGAGAAATGTTGATGTATAACGGCTGATTGGAAGAATTAAACAGAGAGTACATGATGAGGTTTATTTTGGGAGCAAGTGGAAAGGACACTGAGGCAGCATGAAGTTTTAACACAGGTCTTGGGATCAGGCATGCCTCAATTCCAATCCTAGTACCACAAACTCTGTGGTATTAGACAAGGTTTTTGACCTCACTGAGCTTTGATCTGATCATCTCTAAATATGAGCATGGGAATACCACTTTACAGAATGGCATGAGAATCATAGACAATGTTCATTAAACAGCACAGGCTCCGCTATTTGGCAGAAAGAGACATGTAAGAATTTGAAATCTGACTCCTGCTACTAATTAGCTATGGGGTTCATGGTAAATCACATCAAGATGAGGTTCAATTCCAAATTTAGAATTGGCATAAGGATTGTATCAGATAATGCATATGAAAAACACTTAGTAAAAATGCCTGCAATAAATACTGTTGATTAATCCTTGCCTACTAACAACCACTTTGACAACCCCATAAAATCTCTGCGGGATTCTTGAAGAAAATTAAAACACTTGGGGGTGAGTGGTGACAGTTGATATTTTAGTCTTTCTTCAACGATGTCTTCATTTCTTCCAAATCAACAGTGCACTCTCCTCAGAACCAAAACACAGTTATTCAAGAACTGTCATGATGAACACCCCAGTGTTCATGAGACCTAATTAATTTTTGCATTATTATTTTTAAAACATTTTATGTATTTTCAATACAAATTGATACAATAAAAACTAAGCAAGAGTATAGCATTTTGCATTATTATTTTATCAAGTCTCACATTTTGGCATTAAATAATGATATAAATCAACTAGAAAACAGCATGAAAACACCAGTAAAGACAAATATCATCTTAACTTCCCATAGTGTTCTCTTGTAATGTCTCCTGTTAAAAGTGGTTAGGAAGAAAAGAAAAAATACCTCTTAAAATGATGTCTACCATAAATATTTAAATTGTGATGCTGTTTATGCTAGACAAAACAAAAATCTAGCAAAGGAAAATGCAATACTACCTTCAGTGCTGATGTAAAGATAAACAATAATAATAGCAGTAATGCACCACATAATACATAGAGAAATAAAATTGATAAAGAATCAGCAAATAAAATTCCCTCAGTAAACTTTTTCATAGAACACACATAAACAGGAATTCTGGAGCACTTAGAAATCTTCTTTTATTTAATCCCGTGATGACTATACTCACAATTGTCATTAATGTGAAAGAACAAATAATTTCTTTTCTCTTACAAAGTAGTCACAGAAAAATAGAATTAAAATATACTAAATATTACAGGTACCAGTTTCAAAATACAACTTTAAGTTATTAAGAGAGTCTGCTACTAATTCTTCTTTCAAAAAAGGCTCTGACACAGCAAAACCTAGTTATACAAAGCTAAATTCATTCAGAGACTTTAAAGGAAAAACATCATTTGGTTACTTTTCAATAATTTATTAAAAGAATTAAAAATATTTGTTTTAAAAATGCACACATGAACACACACACCACCATTTCTATCTCTTACTCTTTTAGTAATGCAGCAGTGGGTGGGACGGGGCGCTCAAAGCCTCTGTGGTTTGAAAAGGACTCCCTATATAGATTCTGATGAACATGCAAGCACTGAGTAGCTTTCTCCAGCTTCTACTTCCCCAAGGAAAAACAACAACTCAAAAGGTCCTAATTTTTACCTACATAACTTTAGCTGAATTAATTATTGATCCTTTAGTTTTGGAAGGTTAAAGTAGGACCCTCAATTTCATAAGAAAGCAGGGTGCATGGGCTGGAGGGAGATGGATGAGGGGGCTGGAAGGGGGAGCTGAAATCCTGAGCAAGCACAACTGGAAAGTAGACGACAAAAGACAGTGTTCCCCAGACTCTGGGCATCCTAAAGCAGCGGTGTCCAATCTTTCTGGCACCAGGGACCACTTTTGTGGAAGACAGTTTTTCCACAGACGAGGTTGGGGTAGGGGGTATAGTTTTGGGATGAAACCATTCCACCTGAGATCATCAGACATCAGATTCTCATAAGGAGCGCACAACCTAGATCCCTCGCATGCACAGTTCACAATAGTGTTCCTGCTCCTGAGAGAATCTAATGCCCTGGCTGATCTGACAGAAGGCGGAGCTCAGAGGTTAATGCTCACTCGTAATGCTCACTCGCTGACCACTCACTGTCTGGTGTTCAGACTGGTTCCTAACAGGCCACGGACTGCAACCCTGGGCTTGGGGACCCTGTCTTAAAGCAAAAAGCAGAGACCAAGGTGAAAGCAAGGATGAAAAGGAAGATCAGGGGGACCAGTTATCTGATACAGTCCATGCTTAGGCATTAGAACTATGACTGCAAGAATCCTCCTCCTCCCTCCTTCTTTTCCTTCCCCTAAACTATTCTTCTATATCAAAAAAAAAAAAAAAATGACAGTTCCTAAGCATAGGGCAGGATCTACTCATTCCCTAAAAAAGAACGTTTATTTAGTAAAATGACTAACATCAGCTCAATCTTTAAGCAGATAGAGATAAAGAAAGGGGAACTATCAAAGGACACAGTACCTCTGTGTTGGCCTATGTTCAACCAACGTCTTTGAGGGCCTATTATGTCCAGCCATTGAGCTTAGTTTTTGTTTAACATGGCCAACATTTATGAATAATGTTAACATATGCCAGGCTCTGTCCTGAAAGTTCTTCATGAACCATCTCACTTAATCTTCACAACAATTCTATAAGGATAAGTCTACCATTATTCCCATTTTATATATGGAGAAACTAAGGCTCAGGAAATATAAACAACTTGCCAGCTGTCATACATCTCTTAGTGAGAAAAAGATCATGGTAATCTGACTCCAGGTAATACCCAGGTAATCTGACTCCAAAGCCCATGTCCTTATCCATTGTACTTGACAGCAAACTAATGCTTTATTGGTAAGGGGCTTGGCAGGTTGGATGAGGAGTACTGACATCATCCTTCATGCACATATATGACTGCGGCCCTACACTGCCCTTCTGGTTTTCCGTAGTTTCATGAACTAAATGTAGGTTTCATTTCAATGTCTGTAATGTGGTGTTAACTTTTCTTTACATGCATCTGTTCACACACAGCCACCCAGCCTTCACAGAACTATGCTAATAATGGCAGAAGCAATTCAAAAGAAAGGGTTTGAGTATATTGCACAATGTTAGATTAGTGGATTTTTCCTCCTAATTAGGTATTTCTTATGTTATTGGTAAAAATATCTCGATTCCCTAAGGCCATACTAACTGATTAGTGAGGAAAGCACATGTGGATCACACTGGGCAGCAGAGAGAGAACAAATGTGGGGCACCATGGAGGTAGCTGGGTCTGAATCTCAGCTCTGTCACTTAATTCCTGGGTGATTGCCAGACAGTCATAAAGCTCTTTGAGTTTATTTACCTATCTATATAATGCAAAAATAAGACAGATACCTTCATAACAGTATTGTAGGACATAGAAGAAACCATGTGAATAAAAAAGCCTAGCACCACAACTGGCATCTACTGATGCTTTCAGCACATTAGCTTAAATTTCACAGAGGCTAATCTGATATTTCTGTATTTGACTGCCTGTTGGCCAATCCAATTTTCTCTTAAATTAAGTGCAAAACTGTTACAAAGGTGAAAATTCTATACTAGCAGATCTCAAATTTTACTATATGTAAGTATCACTAGAGATACTGTTAAAATGCAGGTTTTGTAAATTCTACTCACAGAGATTCTGATTCAGAAAGTTTATGGTGGGGCCCCAGAATTTTCACTTTCGGTGAATCTGAATTGAAAAACATACTTTGAACATTATGTGTGCTCTCATTTCCTCTCTCCATATATATGTGTATATGTGTGTGACTGTATGTGTATATATATGTATACATATGTGTATGTATGTGTATAGATATACATGGGTTCCATTTCAATGTGTGTGCGTGTGTGTGTACAAATATATATATATTATATTCTTTAAAGTCCTGTGTTTAAAATACTATAGGTGCAGTCTCAGCCCCAAATTCACTAATGCTATTGAAGCCTACTGAGGATTATGTTAAGACTATACTTTTAATATCTTCATGACACTAAATGCCATGGGACCCATAATAAAAATGCAAATCTATACCAACAAATAATTTCTGAAACTTAATCTTGAATTAGTATATGACAAAATAAAGAGAGTATAGTTGGGTATAGTATATAGCAATGTGTATAAGAGAATTAAAAAGAAGCTGTTCAGATTGGTGTAGCTGTTACAAAAAAGAGTATGGAGGTTCCCAAATAAATTTAAAATGCAACTACCATATGATTCAGCAATCCCTCTTTTGGGTATATACTCAAGGGAAATGAAGTCACCACCTCGTAGAGATACCTGCATTTTCAGGTTTATTGCAGCATTATTCAAAATACCCAAGAGATGGAAACAACCAAAGTGTCCATCAGTGGATGAATGGAGAAATAATTGTGTTATACAGTCATGCACTGAATAACATTTCAGTCAATGATGGACCTCACATAAGACGATGGTCCCCTAAGATTATAATGGAGCTGAAAAATTCCTATTCCCAGTACGTAGCATACCACAATGCATTACCTACTGTACTGCTAGTTGTATAAAATATAGCACATAGAATTATATAGACTGGGAACAGCAGCTCACACCTGTAATCCCAACACTTTGAGAGGCCAAGGCAAGAGGATCATGTGAACCCAGGAGTTCCAGACCAGCCTGGGTAACATAAGGAGACCCTATGTTACAAAATTAAAAATTAAAAAAAAAAACAAACCTAGCCCAGCATTGTGGCACGTACCTGTGGTCCTAGCTACTTGGGAGGCAGAGGTAAGAGATTTGCTTGGGTCAGGGAGGTCGAGGCTGCAGTGAGCCATGATCGCACCACAGTATTCCAGCTTGGGTGACAGAGCAAGACCCTATCTCAAAACTATATATATTTATACTTGATGATGATAATAAGAGACTATGTTAGTGGTTTATGTATGTACTGTAATATACTTTTATTGTTATTTTAGCATGTACTCTTTCTATTTATATTAAAGAAAAAACAGTTAACTATAAAACAGTCTCGGGCCACTACTTCAGGAGATATTTCAGAAGAAGGCATTGTTATCTTAGGAGATGATAGCTCCATGTGTTATTGAACCTGAAAGACCTTCCAGTGGGACAAGATGTGGAGGTAGAAGACAGTGATATTGATGATCCTTACCCTGTAGAGGCCTAGGCTAATGTGTGTATGTGTCTTAGTTTTTAACAAAAAAGTTTAAAAGGCAAAATATAAAATAAAAAATTTTTAGATAGTAAAAAATCTTACAGAATAAGGACACAAATAAAGAAAATGTTTTGTACAGATGTACAAGGTGTGTGTGTTTTGTGTTATTGCAAGGGTCAGAAAGTTTTTTAAAAGTTTGTAAAGTAAAAAGTCACAGTAAGCAAAGGTTAATTTATATTGAAGAAAAAATATCTTTATGAGTCTAGTGTAGGCTAAATGTACAATGTTGATAAAGTCTACAGTAGTGTACAGTAATGTCCTAGGCCCTCACATTCACTCACCATCCACTGACTCAGCCAAAGCAACTGCCAGTCCTGCAAGCTTCATTCAAGGTAAATGCCCTATACAAGTGTATTTTTTATCTTTTATACCATATTTTTGCTGTACCTTTCTATGTTTAGGTACATTTAGATACACAAATCCTTACCATTATGTGACAATTGCCTACAACATTCAGTACAGTAACATGCAGTACAGGTTTACAGCCTAGGAGCAATAGGCTATACCATATAGCCTAGGTGTGTAGTATGCTATGCCCTCTAGATTTGTGTAAGTACACTGTGTAATGTTTGCACAACAACAACATCACTTGATGATGCATTTTAAAAGGTATCACAGTTGTCGAGCAACACGTGACTATATATATGCAATGAGATATTATCTGGTCTTAAAAAAAAAAAAAACAATTCTTGCCATTGGTCACAACTGCGGATGAACCTGGAGGACATTATGCTAAGTGAAATAAGCCAGACACAGAAAGACAAATACTTCATGATCTATCTCACTTATATGTTGAATCTAAAAAGGTAAGATAAAAGTTAATTACATAGAAAAAAATGTAATTTTGGTTACCAGGAGGAAGTAGGCAGAGGTAGGCAGAGGTGGAAATTGGGAGATGTAGGTCAAAGAATTCAAAGTTGCAAATATGTAGGAGGAATAAGTCTAGAGATCTAATAGACAATATGAGGACTTTCATTGATAATATTGTGTTGTTTTTGAGGTTGTTGCCAAGAGAGTAGCACACACAAAAGGGTAACTAGATCAGATGATAGACATGCTCATTTCTTTCACTTTCATTTCATTTTAATATACTTCTAGGTAACCATTTCACCACCTAGAAGTATATTAAAACATCATGTTGTACACCTTAAATATATACAACTTAATTTTTATAAAAAGAAGCTACCCAGATTATTATACTTTTTTCCCCTCGGGCATGCTTTGAAAAAAAAAAAAACGAATGCAGAAAAGTTAACTTTGAAGAAAGCTTAAAAAAGAAATCAATGAAGTTTTAAAAGGAAGGCCACAGAACCAGTCGCTGGAAAGAAGTTCTCAGTACTTAACTATATTTTCAGGTTTTCAAAAACAGGTAAAACCCTTATTTGCAAGAAATATTCGCAGAGTTTTGTTGGTACTTCTTTTGTGTTTGTCTGGACTGCTTTGGCATTCTTCAATTTTCCTTGGACTGTGAAAGGATCTATTGTGCATTGAATCACCAGTGTTCATTAAGAAAAGGTTTTACTGGCCGGGCACGGTGGCTCACGCCTGTAATCCCAGCACTTTGGGAGGCCAAGGCGAGCGGATCACTAGGTCAGGAGATTGAGACCATCCTGGCTAACACGGTGAAACCCCGTCTCTACTAAAAATACAAAAATTAGCCAGGTGCGGTGGCGGGCGCCTGTAGTCCCAGCTACTCGGAAGGCTGAGGCAGGAGAATGGCGTGAACCCTGGAGGCGGAGCTTGCAGTGAGCAGATATCGTGCCACTGCACTCCAGCCTGGGTGACAGAGTGAGACTCTGTCTCAAAAAAAAAAAAAAAAAAAAAGGTTTTACTTTGGTCAAAAGAAATTATATTCAATAAATGATGGAGAAAATGTCCAGTTTTACTAGCTGAATCTGCCTGCATGGAGCTAAGTATATTCTTCCAGAAGAATTTGGCCATAGATAGAAAATCTTGTCCCAAGACTTTAAAATACAAGTGAGTTATTAATTTCCTAGGCCTGGAAAATCAGCCTCCAGCCCATCTGTATCTTTCAATATTACCACAGAAATGATGTTCTGGAGGAATGTGCCCACTAGAACATGTCACTAAGTTGCCCGCTAAGTTACAGAATGGATAGGGATTCATTTGATTCTGAGGAACTTCCCTAAAATTCCCCCATCATATCCTTCACTTCAGCCCCTTGACTGTCATCCTTCACTCTTCTCCAGAAGTAGACTTTCCTATCCAGCTCTTCTACCTGAAACCTGACCAGATATCCCCGCTTGTGGTAACCACTCTGGTGTCCTACAGCCCTTGATGCCTTGCCATTCACTCAAAACCTGTCCATTCTTAGCCTATACTTTATCCTTCTTGAGTATTTGTCTCCTTAACAACATTGTAAACTCCTCAGAGGGCAGAAACCATATCTTCAATTTTATCTGAACCCCTATAATGCCTAGCCCCGCACCTTTGGGCATAGTAGGCATTCATTCAGTAAAGATGTACTAACAAGAGTTCAGCATACTGAATTTCACACATCTCCCCAAAAGTGCCATGCTAGTCCTGAAGTCACCGAGTGTTTGCTGGGCAAGGTGCAGAGCCACTAGCTTCTTTTGCTAGTACTGAGAGCCACCATAACCTTCTCCATAGCCCACTAAGCTTTGGATAGTGTCCTGGCGTTATGGGATTCTCGTCTTTTGTATGATAGAAGTCCAAACTTTAATCTGGACCCATTTTTATTCATACATATCTCTAAGTAGTGTCAGAAAGACAGAGAAATATTCTGCAGCCAAAACTGGTCTTTATTTTATTTGGCTTGAAGGCTAGTAGTACTGGCAAGCAGACAGATATCCGTATTTTCAATACATGAAAAATATCACCCAATAAAGCATGCATCAATATAACTAAAAATTTAAAGTAAAAATAAGGGCAGTATTTCTAATGTGGAATATTATTTCACCCACACATCATTAGTGCTGGGTGTGCAATACAAGAATAAGTATGACCAAAGAATTTAAAAAGTAAGCCTCTACCTCTTTCTTTCTCATGGCTTCACAGTGCCTACATCCTCTCACCAATAAGATCACAAGAGAACTTCATGTTAATTACCACCATTCACTATGGTGTGACATTATCTGTGGAAAAATAATGTATTTTTCTTGGCCCCCATTCAAAAGGATTGGTTACTTAACAGCTTAAACAGGCTCATTAAAAAATTGCTTTACCCACAAAGCCTCTCCCACACCAGGAAAGCACAGGAAGAAATCTTTGAGGAAAACCTCTGTTTTAAATAATCAAAAGTTGCTTTTGGTTCAGTATCTCAGATCTTCAAAGGAGTAAACTTGCTTGAGTCCATGTGACAAGCGCTAAAAGAATGGTAAAATAGATCTGTCCTGCACCACACAGTGGAGCCTTGAAACAGACAAATAAGTTCCCTGACAGCATCAATCAAGTGAAGTTCTTGTGACTTTTTTTGACTAAGCACTAAGACAGTGATTGGAATAATGAGAAACAATGCTGAAAAACAATAGAAAATTGCTGGCTTCCCCACCTCCCTCTACTACCACTTCCAAATGATAGCTATAATTCAGCAAAAGATCATAGAGGCTGGCATTTATGCTGAATATCACTTCCTACCAGGCTTTTATTTACTAAATTTCTCCTAAATGAATATCTAGCTGAGGGGAGTAAATTGTATGTGACCATCCCTATCAATAGCAAACTAAAATATATTGGCATGATCTCAAATAAATACAGCAGATAAATATAGTAGTCTGGCACAGGATTGCACATGGTGAGCTGTTTTGTAGGTTTGTGGCAAAAGAATAGAAGACGCATTACAAATAAACGTACCGTACTTAATATTGTCTCATGGAAGACGGCTCAATCTTGCTAAATCAAATAAGAATTTCAGGGAAAGAATTGAGCCATACTCCTAAGTTTATAAATCATAATATAGCTCTTTTTCTAAGGTACAGGATTTCACATATGAATGGTGAAGTTTAAGACTGGCTGAAATAATGAAGGCTGAATGCAAGAGAATGAGTTGTGGACTCTCTATCAACAGAGACATGGAAATGTTTGCTGATGAATAAATTTAAATTCATTACTGCAAACTGAAACAGCACAGTATTTGTTAAAATTGGCCTAAAACTTTAAAGTTGGGGGGAACTTTGTAGACAATAAGGGAGAAGTTTTAATTTATAAATTATTGTCATTTTAACTCTGTCTTTCTTACACGATGTCTTCAAAATCCATAACAGAAATATGACTCTTGTTTTGTTATTAATATTCCCAGAAAGGAAGGC